>NC_000015.10:91441278-91592793 GCF_000001405.40 Homo sapiens
CATGCTGCATTTTGGTTGTAAGCTACTAAAAGAGTTGTGTTTTAATTCTAAAAAGGTTGAAAGTAAATGGATTGAAAAAAGATATACTATGCAAATAGTAATCATAAGAAGGCTGTATTGATATCAGAAAAAGTAGACATATATACAAGGTGTATTACCAAAAGTGTAGAGGGACAATGAAGAAAAGGTTAATTCATCAAAGAAGCATAGCAATTACAAATATGTATTCAGATAACCATCAACTTTCAAAACATGAGAACTCAAACTGACAGAACTCAAAAGAAAAAATAGACACCTCTGAAATCATAATTGGAGATTTTTAACACAACTTTTTGTAATTAGTGGAAAAAGTAGAGAATCCATCAGTAAGGATGTAGAACATTTGAACAATGCTATCATCCACAAACAGATTGTCATTTATAGAACAATTATCTATCAAAATAAGACTACACCACTTGGAACAGACACCCAAACAGATTATGTGCCGAAAATTGAATGTCTGAGTAAGATTAAAAACATTGAAATCATACAGAACATATTCTTTCATCAAAAGGAAGATTAGTTAGAAATCAATCGCAGTAACGTATCTGAGAAAGTCCAATATTTGGAAATTAAGCAACATCCACTTCTAAATAACGTATAGGTTAAAGAAGAATGTTAGAAACAATTTCGAACTGAGTGAAAATGGAAATAAAAATATGTGAACTCTGGGATTCAAGTCAGCCAATACCTAGAAGGAAGTTTATAGCTTTAAATGCTTATATTAGAAAATGAGAAAGTTTTAAGTTCAGTGATCTAAATTCCTATTTGGAGAACTTCAAAGAGATGAACAAATCAAACCCAGAAAAAGTGTTGCCGGTGGAGGGTGTCCAGGTTCTTGGCGTCTTGAACAAAGAACTGGACAAAATACACAAACAAAGCAAAGAAAGAATGAAGAAACAAAGGCAGAAATTTATTGAAAATGGAGGTACACTCCGCAAACTAGGAACAGGCAGAGCATAGGGGCTCAAGAGCTGGGTTACAGAATTTTCTGGGGTTTAGATACTCTCTAGAGTTTCCCATTGTTTACTTGGTATACATCCTGTGCAAATGAAGTAGTGCCTGGCAATCAATCTGATTGGTTGTGGAAAGCAACCAATCAGAGACATTTTCAATTTTCCATCTGCCACACACAAAAACAGGGGGCAGCAGGAAGGACTAGCCTCTGGTCCTTTTGTTACTTAGGTGTGGAAAGTTGTGGTTTTCCTTTTGATTTAGTTCTAGAAAGTCAGCATGAATGGCCTTAGGTTCCCTGCCCCCAGACCCTATTCTCCTGCCTCTGTAGGAGGAAATTTAAGATTCACAGAAATAAATAAAATACAAAGCAAACAACAGAAAAACCTAACAAAGACACAAGTTAGTTCTTTGAAAAGATTAATACAATTGATAAGACCCTAGGAAAAATAAAGAAAATTAAAAATACCAGTCTCAAGAATAAAGGAGAGGATATTACTGCAGATTCTATGGACATTAAGAGAATAACAAGAGTACATAATGAGTGAATTTATGCCAATAAATTAAACTCAGGCAAAGTTGACAAATTTCTTGAAAAACTAAAATTATAAAAACTAATACGAGTTAATAAAAAATATGAAAAGCCCATAACTATTATAGAAATTGATTTTTTGATCAAAAACCTTCTCCCAAAGAAAAATCCAAGTAATATGGTTTGTTGATGCATTGTAGCAAACATTTAAGAAAGAAATAATAGTGAACTTCATAAATTTTAAATAAAACATCAACAAAAGAACCTAGAAAACTTCCCACCTCATTTGATGAAGTCAGCACAACCCTGATACGCAAATCAGACAAGGACAAGAAAGAAAATTGTAGGTCAATATCACCTATGGACATATGCACAAAAATCCTTAAGAAAATATAAGCAAATCAAATCATTTAGAATACAGACAGAATAAAACATCATATTAAAGAGGGAGGTATGTCTCAGGAATGCAAAGAGTTTAAAATTTAAAAACAAGTAAATATAATTCACCATATTTACCTAACAAATAAAAAAATCCAATCATTTCAATAGATTCAGAAAAGGCATTTGAGAAAATTCCATATTTTTCATGATAGTAACTCTCAGGAAATTAGGAATAAAGAGTACTTCCTTAATTTGGTGAAAAGCATTTACTATAAACCTATGGTTAGCATCATACTTAGTGGTGAGATATGGTATGCCTTTCCTCAGAAGACCAGAAAGAAGGCAAGGATGTCCACCTTTATCACTTCAGTTTAATATTTTTCTGAAAGTCCTAGCTAGTAGCATAAGGAAAGAAAAAGAAATAAAAGGCCTAAAGAATGGAAAGGAAGAAAGCAAAACTCTATTTATTTGTACGTGACATAATCATGTGTTTAGAAAATCTGAGGAATATTTTAAAGTTACAGAATAACTGTTTTTAGCAGGACATGGGATACAATTTCAATATACAAAATAAAATATATTTTCATGTTTTAGCAACAAAAAATTGGGAGATGAAATAATAAATTGTGCATTTTCATTTAAATAAGATAAAAAGAAAGTTATTACAGATAATTTTCAGTCAGAAATAAAATATTTTCGTCAGAAAATAAAATTTCTGTAAGACTTCTACATAAAAAATCATTAAACATTAAGAAATTAAAGAATACATAAAATAGGAAAACCATATTCATAAATTGGAAGAATCAATATTAAGATATTATTTTCTTCTAATTGGTTTATAGATTCGGCAAAATCTTATTCAGAATACCAACAGTCTTTTTTCTTTCTTGTGGAATTGATAAGCCCATTCTGAAATTTATGTGGAATTGCAAACAACCTAGAATAACTGAGACAGTTTTGGAAGAAAAGATGTTGGAAGGTCTGAACTCCCTGGTTTTGACTTCCTTGATAGTCAAGGCACAAACGAGTTATGACTGCTTTTCTTTTTCAAAGAATATTGTGCACAGTTTCAAAGTTTGTGATGATTTTCATCTCTGCAGTCAATTACAGGTGAAAGGAGGCTCAAAGGTAAAATTGGATCATGCACACAATTGTGCAGCTCAGCTGGCAGTGCTTGACATTTTTGGCCTAATTTAAGGGAAACAGTCTACTCTTTGCTACATGGTTGTCTGTCTGCTAACCACACCTGACATTATAGCTGTACAAAGTGATGAGACGCCAAACCATAAGAAATGCAGTAAGTCTTCTTGCTACTCTTCCTACTGTCATACTATTCAAGTAATTTGTTAAGCACCTACTATAAGTCAGTTACTATCCTGGGTGCAGGGAAGACATAAATTAATGTCTAAGCTCACAGTCTCAAGAAGAGAGGTAAGAAAATAGATACATGCTGTACATTCTATTACAGCGATATTCTATTAATCAGGAAGGTTAGAATATGCTACAATAAACAGCCCCGGTGTTTTATTGGCTAACCAAAGGAAAGGCTTATTTCTTGCTCACACATAATCAGAGTTCTGTGGGTCTAGGCATTTTTCCATGACAACTGTTCTTCATGTGGCACTTTGGCAAACGGAGACACGGAACTTGCACTATGCTGAAGCTTCAGGGAACATGTGACCTTAGTTGATGTGAGAGGCAGGGAAAGAAGGGTGGAAAATCACCTACATTTCTTAAATTCTTTAGCCTGCAAGTGATGCTAATTATTTCCACTCACATATCACTGGCCCAAGTAAGTCACATAGCCTGCCTAACTTCAAACTAATGGAAAATATACTCTTTAATGTGCTGGGAAGGAGAGGGAATTTCAATAAGTTGCTGATTATTAGAGATGTCTACCGTACAGGCAGAATGTTCTGTTGAGGAGAGCACAAAGGAGCAAGAATCTGAGAGTGTGTGATTAAGAGAGGTTAGGGGGCAGCTTCTTGAAAGAAGCAGCATCTTTAAGAATAAAGAGGAGCTGCCTTTTGAAGAAAGGAGAAAGTAAATTCCAGGCGGATGGAACCACATGCACTAAGGTATGAATATATTGGCATAATTATCAGTCGTTGACATCTGCAGAGAGAAGGGTAGACAGAGGGACAGAAGAATGTCGGTGGATATAGCCAGCACATAGACCTTCGAGTGCCCCTTTAAATAATGGAATAATGGAATAGAAGCAGGGTTTGCAGTAATTTCCATACAAGAATATAAGGGATTTTGACACCATTCTTACTTAGTATGAAAACAATAATTCAAGGAGTTCGTAAGCAGATTAGGACCAGAGAAATAGTTTCCCAACTTGAAGAAACTTAACAGAAGTTAAAGGAGCATTTGAAGAAGGGGCTCATCGTAATGTTATTCTCAGACCTCAGACTGCAAACTTCATTCAGAGCAGAAGTCATTCCTATCTGATTCTAGGATCATTCTAGGATAGACAGAATCATGCTGTTATGTCTTCTTGGGAAAACTATATTTCATATTCTTTTCCCTCTATAAATACAGATTGAATAGGTTTACTTTTTTCCAACATCTTTTTTCCTTATGAAAATTTCCTAGTGATGGTAGGAAGCATCTCTGGCTCCCATAAGGCCCTGGGAGAGTTTCACTCCAGCAGTGTTTTATGTAACATGTAAAATGACTGGAGGGCAGATTGGTTTTGGTGGTGAATCAGCAAGCTGCAAGTTCTCATTAACTGTTCAACAGGAACAACATCAAAAGTGAGTGTTCCCTGTCATACCGTTGGTATAAATCTTGTGGATCAGTTTGAGGATTTCAAGGGCAATTTGCCCCAGTTACACATGTTCTTTGGAAAGCAACAAATAAGCATGTAGCTCAATAGCCAGGAATTTGAGCCAAAGAAACGTATTTCTTTGGGTCCACTGTAATTATTACGAGTTCTTGTATTCTTTTCTTGTGGGAGAACATGACCAGCAAGCAGCACAGTAATATATGAATAAAACATGAATTTTAGATTTTCAAAGAAAACTTAATGTTGATCTTATCTGAATATCATTTTACAAATGGAAACAATGTATTCAAAGTCACATAGCCGGTAATACTAGCAACTAGAACCAAGATCTGTTGACTTAAAGCTCAGTGATCTTTCTTATATTTTAAAATAAATGTAATTAATAAAAATAATAGAACTGAGTTAATGAAAATTAAGTTTCACTAAGATTAATAAAACCTAGGTTTTATTAATTCAAATCCAAATGAGTCGCTTTTATTACTATTAGTAGTAGTATTTGCCCATACTATTTAGATTTGCTTACGTACTTAGCTTTTTGTTTTCTTTTTTTGGTTATAACTATTTCCTGCATGTCACTCCTAACTTCTCAGTTTAATTCTTTCTGACCCAAGTATGTCCTTGAGTTAGAGCTCTGTCAGTGAGGATCTGTTGATAGTAAACTTTATCAAAATGGGTCTGAAAATTATTATTTGTTATTATTTCACCTCCCGTATTAAAAGAGCACGTATATATGTATGGATTTTTGAGTAGAAAATGTTTAGTTGAATATAGAATACTGATTTTCTTTTACTCTCAGAATTTAAAAATTATTTCATTGTCTTCTGGTCTTTATTGTTGCTCATGAGAAGTCTGCTGCCATATTAATTGTAGGTCTTTTGCATGGAACTATTTTTTTCTAATTGGTTTTTTAAAAAGATGTTATCTTCATCTTGAGATGCTGCAGTTTTACTGTTATGTGTCTAGATAAAAACTTTTTTTTTCTTTGTACTGCTTGGATATCTTGCTTTATCAAACTGAGCATTTATATTTTTCAATTCTAAAATATCTTTTTTATCAAATTCCAAGTTATTGTCTTCCAAAGAACAAGTGTTACTCTTTTTTTTTTTTTTTTTTTCAAGACCGAGTTTTACTCTTGTTGCCTAGGCTGGAGTGCAATAGCGTGATCTTGGCTCACCGCAACCTCCGCCTCCCGGGTTCAAGCGATTCTCCTGCCTCAGCCTCCCTAGTAGCTGAGATTACAGGCATGCACCACCACGCCTGGCTAATTTTTTTGTATTTTCAGTAGAGACGGGGTTTCTCCATGTTGGTCAGGCTGGTCTCGAAATCCCGACCTCAGGTGATCCACCCGCCTCGGCCTCCCAAAGTGCTGGGATTACAGGCGGGAGCCACCGCACCCGGCGTGTTACTCTTATTCTATCTACTATTGCTTTCCGTTACTTATTCTAGGTAAATGTTGAAAATTTTCTTTCTATCTTCCATGTCTCTCTAAAACTTTTACATATTCTGTTTGTTTACCTTCTTTTTAATTCTAGCTTCCAGTTCAGTAATTCTTTTGTCACCTTAGTTTAATATGCTATTTCATTTCTATACTGAGTTTAATCTCAGTAACTATATTTTCATTTGTAGAAATTCCATTTGTTTCATTTTCCAGTTTCTCTAATTATTTTTACTATGTCCTGTTCCTTCGTTGTTATTTTGCCTTCTCCTATCTCTTTAATAATTTTAAAAATACATATTTTAGTAACCTCTTAACATTCTATTAATTTGAATTTGGGGGATGCTATTTTTTCTGATATTGTACTTATAATCTTCCTGGTGGTTTGTTTCCTTATATAGTTCATAATTTTTCATTGTGAACTAACTCTCAGTGGGGATTATTAACACTATGGAAACTGCATAGAATCTTATTTGAGGAAATGTTGCTAACGAGTGGTTCTACATTTGCTTGTACCAGATACCCTGGGAGTTTTCCCATAAATATGACTAGTTTTCATATTGAGGTCTCAGCATTGGAATTCCTATACCATAGAGACTAAAATCTTTGGAAATGCAGAAACATTTTATTTCGGTCCTATTCTATAAAAGAATTAGAGCTAGAGAGGGAGGGTAAATGGGTCTCTTGGAAAGGATATGGAGATCCACCAGATGCCATTCTTGTGCTTTTTCATTGAGAGCTGAGCCCACTAGTATCTGGCATGTTAAATTCCCAAGAATCTGGAAGGAAGACAGTCTCATCCTTGCCAAAATAAACCTTCATTCCAACATTGACAACAAGTAGCAGCTTGTATTCCAAAGGACACAGGGCTGGAAAATCTACATTCTGTACCTAACACCCCCAAAATGTTCAAGCTGCTCTTCCCATCATTGAAAACTGAGTGCACAAGAAATTCTTAAATATGGTTAGCAACTTACAATTCTGAGTTCTAACTTCCTGCTACAACACGTGCTGGTCTCCTGCAGGTACACATGGCTTCCTGGCAGTACCTGTCAGTATCCTCTCAGATGCAGCCGTCTTGTGGCTTCTACAGCAAAGGACTGATTTAAAAATTGAGCCTGGGTTCTACTGGTACATGTTTGATAGTAAGGATGATAACAGTAATGGATAACATTTATTAAGACCTCATATGGGTGAGGTACTATGTAAATATTAATTATGTCATGTAATCATTTCAAACCTCCAAGTACTCTATTTTACAAATCAGGAAAGTGAGACTTGAAGGATTTAGTAACTTGCCCTTGGTCACGGACTTAAGGAATTTGGTTTGAGTTGAGGCAATCTGATTTCCACATCAACTCTTAAATGTAATACGTACTGCTGCTACTGCTGTTGATACCTCTTATTCTAGAAAGTAATGGAAATATTTGTTTTTAAGCAATAAACAGCTATCTTCAGAGTCATTTTAGCATTTTAAGTACAATTAAGAAATACATTAGTGTCCTATAACCATTTCAAATTCAACATGTCCTATTTTCACATGAACCATCAAAATGTTCCCCAAATATTACTAATTTGGGATATGTATATTTACATTATACTTATGTATACGTTTGTTATTTATGAATAAATTATGAACAAATTATGAGGTTATTAAACAATTATATGTATTTGTGTATAAAACTTGCTCCTAGAGACAGCTTGGAAGTCCTTTGTTGATTATTGTATCCTGAGTTTTACTTCAAAAAGAACAATTTCCATAATGCTCAGGTGTTATAACATTTTAAAATAATACTGAAAAGAGATAGGCACTGTGTTAGTACTTATTGGCATACCTAGTGTTTGCCAGGCAGAATGACTACATGATAAAGAATTAACTGCTTATTTTAGTCACTTGGCTTCCCCCAAATCTAACTCTCATCTCACCAATTCCCTCATGTTTTCTTCATTTGCTGAACATTGTGTGTTGGCTTGGGTCACGGAAAATGGAATACCAGAAAACAGCAGGTGAGGCAACTCCTAAGAGGAAAATAGTGTACTTTCCAGAGAGAGAGAGAGAGAGAGAGAGAGAGAGAGAAAGAAAACAAAGGACATTTCTTCTTTTTAAAGTAAGTTTTTTTTTTATTGTAAAAGCACGTAATTATTCAAGAAAATTTGGAAGTCACAGAAAGGGAAGAAAACTCTACTTATCGTTCTACCAGCCAAGGCAATCACCGTTCATAGATTTGTGTATTTCCATCTTAACTCCTTTATTTGTATAGTTTTGTGCTTTTGTTTTTGATAATTATGATCATACCATAGAATGAAACCTGTTAGGTTTTGTTTTGCCTAGTATTATGGCAAGTGTTTTGTCAACATCGTCTGTATGAATACATACATGTTCCCCAATTTTAGCAGCATTCTACCTGAATATAGGAGCACTTAAACGTTCAGTGCTACATGAGGTTGCTAAACAATAGACCTCCCTGCAGGTGTGTTCCCTGGCAGCTGTGTTGGCTATTGCCCTTCAAGTCTCCTCATATCTCCTCCTGAAGTCTCCAGTGCCTCCTGCCAAGGTTTCTTCTGGTTGCCATTCATTCAAGTTTTGGTGAATTCTAACCAGCAGCAGTGATGTCTAATACTGCCCTTTCTAATGGCAAATATCTCCCATGAACTCTTAACTTGCTAATCTTTGGTAGGCCAATTCTTTGAAGGTATCTTGAGTCGCAGTAAAATGATTATTTTGGCATGCTGTCTGATATGCTGCTTAGGTGTTTTTGTTGTTGTTGTTTGTTTGTTTTTTCCCTGCATCTTCACAGGCTGGGAACTATCACTTAATCACATTCCATCAGCTATTATGGGTTAAAACTCTCTCTCAGAGCCCAAAATAAATGTCAGAAAGAGAGATCACCTCAGAATAAACCAAATGCTTTTGGCAATCGCTCAAGTTAGGGAAATGGCAGTCATTGGCCAGGTTCTCATCTGTTTGGATTGGTTTAATGGCAATTAAAACATAGGGGCATATATATTAACAGTGTACTAAAATACTGTGTGTGTGTTAAGGATAGTTGTGTGTGTGGGTGTGGGGGGTGGTTTTAAAAAATATTTCAGAAACTTTATGCCTTTCAATTAAGACATTTCTTTATTTTATTTATTTCCATAGGTTATTGGGGAACAGGTGGTGTTTGGTTACACGAATAAATTCTTTAGTGCTGATTTATGAGATTTTGGTGCACCTATCACCTGACCAGTATACACTATACCCAATTCGTAGTCTTTTATCCCTCACACTCTTTCCACCCTTTCACCCTGAGTCCCCAAAGTCTATTGTGTCATTCTTATGCCTTTGCATCCTCATATCTTAGCTCGCACTTATGAGTGAGAACATACAATGTTTGGTTTTCTATTCCTGGGTTACTTCACTTAGAATAATAGTCTCCAATTTCATTCAGGTTGCTGGGAATGTGAAAAATCCATTCCTTTTTTATGGCTGAGTAATATTCCATCATATATATATGTATATACCACAGTTTCTTTATCCACTTGTTTATTGATGGGCATTTGGGTTGGTTCCACATTTTTGCAATTGCAAATTGTGCTGCTATAAATATGGGTGTGCAAATATCTTTTTCATATTACTTTTTTTCCTCTGGGTAGATACCCAGCAGTGGGGTTGCTGAATCAAATGGTAATTCCACTTTTAGTTCTTTAAGGACTCTCCAGTGTTTTCCATAGTGGTTGTACTAGTTTACATTCCTACACTTCTATACTAGAAGTGTACCCTGTTCACCTTCACCGCATCACCCCAACATCCATTTATTTTTATTTTTTTTGACTATGGCCGTTCTTGCAGGAGTAAGATGGTGTCACATTGTGGTTTTGATTTGCATTTCCCTGGTCATTAGTGATGCTGAGCATTTTTTCGTATGTATGTTGGCCATTTGTATATTTTCTTTTGAGAATTGTCTATTCATGTCCTTACTCCACTTTTTGATGGGATTTTTTTTCTTGCTAATTTGTTTGAGCTTGTTGTAGATTCTGAATATTAATCCTTTGTCAGATGTATAGATTGTGAAGATTTTCTCCAAGTCTGTGGGTTGTCTGTTTACTCTGCTGACTGTTCCTTTGCTAGGCAAAAGCTCTTTAGTTTAATTAAGTCCCAGCTATTTATCTTTGTTTTTATTTGTTTTTGGGTTCTCCGTCATGAAATCCTTGCCTAAGCCAATGTCTAGAAGGGTTTTTCTGATGTTATCATCTAGAATTTTTATAGTTTCACATCTTGGATTTAAGTCTTTGATCCATCTTGAGTTGATTCTTGTATAAGATGAGAGATGAGGATCCAGTTTCTTTCTCCTATATGTGGCTAGCCAATTATCCCAGCACCATTTGTTGAATAGAGTGTCCTTTCCCCACTTTATGTTTCTGTTTGCTTTGTCACAGATCAGTTGGCTGTAAGTATTTGGGTTTATTTCTGGGTTCTCTATTCTGTCCCATTGGTCTATGTGCCTGTTTTTGTACCAGTACCATGCTGTTTTGGTGACTATGGCCTTACAGTATAGTTTGAAATCAGGTAACGTGATGCCTTCAGATTTGTTCTCTTTGCTTAGTCTTGCTTTGGTTATGTGGACTCTTTTTTGGTTCCATATGAATTTTAGGATTTTTTTTTATTGTTCTGTGAAGAACTGGAAAAGGTGGTATTGTGATGGGAATTCCATTAAATTTGTAGATTGCTTTTGTCAGTATGGTCATTTTCACAATATTGATTCTACCTATCCATGAACAAGGGACATGTTTCCATTTGTTTGTGCTGTCTCTGATTTCTTTCAGCAGGGTTTTGTAGTTTTCTTTGTAGAGGTCTTTCACCTCCTTGGTTAGGTGTATTCCCAAGTTTTTGTTGTTGTTGTTTTGTTTTTTTTTGCCGCTATTGTAAAAGGGGTTGAGTTCTTGGTTTGATTCTCAGCTTGGTCGCTATTGGTGTACAGGACAGCTGCTGATTTGTGTACATTAATTTTGTATCCAGAAACTTTGCTGGAGTTCTAGGAGCTTTTTGGAGGAGTCTTTAGGGTTTTCTAGGTATACAATCATACCATCAGCAGAGACAGTTTGACTTCCTCTTTACTGATTTGGATGCACTTTATTTCTTTCTCTTGTCTGATTGCTCTTTTTAGAACTTCAAGTACTTATGTTGAAGAGAAGTAGTGAGATTGGGCATCCTTGTCTTGTTCCAGTTCTCAGAGTGAATGCTTTGAACTTTTCCCCATTTAGTATTATGTTGGCTGTGGGTTTGTCATAGATGGCTTTTATTACATTGAGTTATGCCTCTTGTATGCCGATTTTGCTGAGAGTTTAAATCATAAAGGGATGCTGGATTTTGTTTAATTTGCTGTGTCTATTGAGATGATCATGTGATTTTTGTTTTTAATTCTGTTTATGTGGTGTATCACATTTATTGATTTGTATATGTTAAATCATTCCTGCATCTCTGGTATAAAACCCACTTGGTCATGGTGGATTATCTTTTTGATATGTTGTTGGATTAGGTTAGCTAGTATTTTGTTAAGGATTTTTGCATCTATGTTCAACAGGGATATTGGTCTGTAGTTTTCTTTTTTGTTTATGCCTTTCCTGGTTTTTGTATTAGGGTGATAGCGGCTTCATAGAATGATTTAGGGAGGATTCCCTCTTTGTCTTGTGGAATAGTGTCAATAGGATTGGTACCAATTCTTCTTCGAATGTCTGGTAGAATTCAGCTTTGAAACCATCTGGTCCTGGATTTTTCTTGTTGTTGTTGTTGTTAATTTTTAAATTACCATTTCAATCTCACTGCTTATTATTGGTCTGTTCAGGGTATCTAATTCTTTCTGATTTAAGCTAGGAGGTTAGTATCTTTCCAGGAATTTATCCGTCTCATCTAGGTTTTCTAGTTTTTGTACATAAAGGTGTTTATAGTACACTTGAATGATCTTTTGTATTTCTGTGGTCAGTTGCAGTATCTCCTGTTTTGTCTCTAGTTGAGCTTATTTGGATTTTCTCTCTTCTTTTCTTGGTTAATCTTGCTAATGGTCTATCAATTTTATTTATCTTTTCAAAAAACCAGCTTTTTGTTTCACTTTCGTATTTTTTTTTGTTTGTTTCCATTTCATTTAGTTCTGCTCTGATCTTATTTCCTTTCTTCTGCTGGGCTTGGGTTTGGTTTGTTCTTTTTTCTCTAGCTCCTCGAGGTGTGACCTTAGATTGTCTGTTTGTGCTCTTTCAGACTTTTTGATGTATGCATTTAGGGCTATGAACTTTCCTCTTACACCTTTGCTATATCCCAGATGTTTTGATACGTTATGTCACTATTGTAATTTAGTTTGAAGAGATTTTTAATTTCCATCTTGATTTCATTGTTGACCCAATGATCGATCATTCAGGAGCAGATTATTTAATTTCCATGTATTTGCATGGTTTTGAAAGTTCCTTTTAGAGTTGATTTCCGGTTTTATTCCACTGTGGTCTGAGAGAGTGCTTGATATAATTTCAATTTTATTAAATTTATTGAGGCTTTTTTATAGCCTATCATATGGTCTATCTTGGAGAAAGTCCCATGAGCTGATGAGTAGAATGTATATTCTGAGGTTTGTGGGTAGAATGTTCTGTAAATATGTTAAGTTCATTTATTCCAGGGTATAGTTTAAATCCATTTTTTTTGTTGACTTTCTGTCTTGATGACCTGTCTAGTGCTGTCAGTGGAGTATTGAAGTCCCCCACTATTATTTTGTTGCTGTCTATTTCATTCCTTAGGTCTAGTAGTAAATTTGGGAGCTTCAGTGTTAGATGCATATATATTTAGGATTGTGATATTTTCCTGTTGGACAAGGCCTTGTATCATTACATAATGATGTCCTTCTTTGTCTTTTTTAACTGCTGTTGCTTTAAAGTTTGCTTTGCCTGATATAAGAATAGCTACCCCTGCTTGCTTTTGGTGTGCATTTGTATGGAATATCTTTTTCCACCCCTTTAAGTTTATGTGAGTCCTTAAGTGTTAGGTGAGTCTCTTGAAGGCAGCAGATGGTTGGTGAATTCTTATTCATTCTGCAATTCTGTTATCTTTTAAGTGGTGCATTTAGGCCATTTATATTCAATGTTAGTATTGAGATGTGAGGCACTATTCCATTCATCATGCTATTTGTTGCCTGTATACTTTTTTTTTAATCTTTAATTGTATTTTTGTTTTATAGGTCCTGTGTGATTTATGCTTTAAAGAGGTACTGTTTTGATGTGTTTCCAGGATTTGTTTCAAGATTTAGAGCTCCTTTTAGCATTCTTGTAGTGCTGGCTTGGTGTAGTGGCAAATTCTCTCCGCATTTGTTTCTCTGAAAAAGACTGTATCTTTCCTGCATTTATGAAGCTTAGTTTTGCTGGATACAAAATTCTTGGCTGATAATTGTTTTGTTTAAGGAAGCTGAAGATAGGGCTCCAGTACCTTCTAGCTTGTAGGGTTTCTGCTGATAAATCTGCTGTTAATCTGATAGATTCTCCTTCATATGTTACCTGGTGCTTTTCCTCACAGCTCTTAAGATTCTTTCCTTCATCTTAACTTTAGATAACCTGATGACAATGTGCCTAGGTTATGATCTTTTTGTGGTGAATTTCCCAGGTGTTCTTTGAGTTTCTTGTATTTGGATGTCTAGGTCTCTAGCAAGGCCAGGGAAGTTTTCCTTGATTATTCCAACAAATATGTTTTCCAGACTTTTAGATTTCTCTACTTCCTCAGGATTGCCGATTATTTTTAGGTTTGGTTGTTTGAAAGAATCTTAGACTTCTTGGAGCCTTTGTTCATATTTTCTTATTCTTTTTTCTTTGTCTTGTTGGATTGGGTTAATTAAAATCCTTGTCTTCAAGCTCTGAAGTTCTTTCTTCTGCTCATTTGATTGCATTGCTGAGACTTTCCAGAGCATTCTGCATTTCTATAAGTGCATCCATTGTTTCCTGAAGTTTTGATTGTTTTTTATTTATGCTATTTCACTGAAGATCTCTCCCCTCATTTCTTGTATCATTTTAAAAAATTTCCTTAAATTGGGCTTTGCCTTTCTCTGGTGGCTCCCTGATTAGCCTAATAACTGACTCTCTGAATTCTTTTTTCAGGTAAATCAGGGATTTCTTCTTGGTTTGGATCCATTGCTGGTGACCTGGAGTGATTTTTTTTGGGGGTGTTAAAGAGCCTTGTTTTGTCATATAACCACGGTTGGTTTTCTGGTTTCTTCTCATTTGGGTAGACTGTGTCAGAGGGAAGGTCTAGGGCTCAAGGCTGTTGTTCAGATTCTTTTGTCCCATGGGATGTTCCCTTGATGTAGTACTTTCTCTTTTCCTAGGGATTTGCCTTCCTGAGAGCAAAGCTGTAGTGATTGTAATCTGTCTTCTGGATCTAGCCACCCATCAGGTCAACCAGGCTCTGGGCTGGTACTGGGGTTGTCTATACAGAGTCCTGTGATGTGAACCATCTGTGGGTCTCTCAGCTGTGGATACCAGCATCTGCTCTGGTGGAGTTGGCAGGGGGGTGAAATGGACTCTGTGAGGGTCCTTAATTTCGGTTGTTAATGCACTATTTTTGTGCTGGTTGGCCTCCTGCAGGGAGGTGGCACTTTCAAGAAAGCATCAGCTGTGGTAGTATAGGGAGGATCAGGTGGTGGGCAGGGCCCTAGAACTCCCCAGAGTATAAGTCCTTTGTCTTCAGCTCCAGCGTGGGTAGAAAGGACCATCAGGTGGGGGCAAGGCTAGGTGTGTCTGAGCCCAGACTCTCCTTATGGGAGGGTGTTGCTGTGGCTGCTGTGGGGGATGGGAGTGTGGTTCCCAGGTCAATAGAGTTATGTTCCTAGGAGGATTATAGCTGCCTCTGCTGTGTCATGTAGGTTGTCAGGGAGGTCGGGGAAAGCCAGCAGTCACAGGCCTCACCCAGCTCCCATGCAAGCCAAAAGGATGATCTCACTTTCACTGTACCCACCCCCCAACAGCACCGAGTCTGTTTCCAGGCAGTGGGTGAGCAGGGCTGAGAACTAGCTCCAGGCTACTCACCTCCCAGCTATGAAAGTAAGTAGGGCTTTCATGCTTCCCCACCTGTGGAGTCTGCACACAGGATTCATGCCCTCCCTTGAGTTCTGGCCAGGAGATTTCTCATGCGGTTGGAATTATTACAAAGTTCAGCTGGAGGTTTCCTTCTCCTTGTGGCCTTTTCCCAGTCCTTTTCTGGCAGTCCTCCCCAAGGCCCCCTGTGAGGCAAGGCGGAAATGGCTACCCAGGGGACGCAGAGAGCCCACGGGGCTTTTCCCGCTGCTTCCTCTACTCCTGTATTTCGCTTGGCTCTCTAAATTGACTCAGCTCCAGGTTAGATCAGAATCTTCTTCCGTGTTGTAGACCTTCAGGTTCCTTAGTGAGCATGTGTGTTCAGAGGCAGAAGATCCCCCTTTCTCACTTCCAGAGTTTGGGCAGTCACGGTATTTGGGGTGTCTCCTGGGTCCTGCAGGAGCAATTTGCTTCCTTCAGAGGGTCCGTGGGTTCTCTTGGCTTTCCTGAATTATTTCTGCAGTAGTTCTGGAGCAAAAGTTTACAATGCGAGACTACACACACTGCTCTGTCCATCTGAGTGGGAGCTGCAATCTAGTCCTGCCTCTCGTCTGCCATGACCTTCTCAAAAAAACCGATTAATACATTTCATTTGCCTCTGCTCCAAGCCCTTGGTAACCACCATTCTAGTCTTTGATTTTAAGAATTTGACCATTTTAGATGACTCATGGAGGTGGAATCATGTAGTACTTGTCTTTTTGTGTGTAACTTATTTCACTTAGCATAATGTCCTCAATGTTCATCCATGTTGTTGCATATTGCAGAATTTTTCACTTTTTAAAAGCTGAATAGTATTTCATTGTATGTATATACCACAATTTCTTTATCCATTCATCTGTCAGTGAACATATGGGTCCTTTCCTTATCTTGGCTATTGTGAATTTCTTACTCACTGCGATAAACACGGATGTGATAATATCTCTTTTTTAGATCCTGATTTCAATTATTTCAGATATATACCCAAAAATGAGATGGCTGAATCATGTGGTAGTTTTATTTTTATCTCTTTGAGGAACCTCCACACTGTTTTCCATAGCGGCTGTATCATTTTGCAGTCCCACCAACAGCATACACTGGTTTCAGTTTCTCCATATCCTTGCCCACACTTGTTTTTTGTTTAATTTAATTTTTAATTGACAAATTTATATATATTTTTGGTGTACAACATGATGTTTTGATATATGTACACATTGTGGAATGGCTAAATTGAGCTAATTAACATATGCCCTACCTCATATGTTTACCTTTTTTTTTTTTTTTTGTGGTGAGAATGCTTACATTCTACTCTTAGCAATTTTCCGGTGTATAATAACTATAGTCACCATGATAGGCAATAGATCTCTACGACTTATTCCTCCCATCTAACTGAAATTTTGTGTTCTTTGACTAACATCTCTCCAATCCTCTAACCCCCAGTCTCTTTTTCTACTCTCTTTTTCTATTTGTTCAACTTTTTAAGATTCTACATGTAGGTGAGATTGTGTGGTATTTGTATTTCTGTTCCTGACTTGTTTTACTGAACATAATGTCCTCCACATTCATCTGTGTTGTCTCAAGTGACAGAATGCTTTTTTTTTTTTTTTTTTGGTAATAGCCGTCCCGACAATTGTGAGGTATGATATCTTTATAATCAACAATAATGTATTGTATGCCTACAATTTTTTAAGAGGATAGGTCTCACGTTAAGTGCCCTTACGGCAATAAAAAAATATTTCAAAGAAAAGTGACATGTAAATCAGCCCTTGCATGAGATTCTGAGCATCTTTAGGTGGTTTTCTCTGTGTTCTTTGCAGTGCTGAGCAGAATGCCTTTCACATACAAAGGCTCAGGAGGCATTGCCTTCCACCCGTTCCTTTAGAAGTCCTCCATGTGAATTTCTCATGCCTCTTGGAGGCTGCAGTTAAGCAAAGTCTCCATCTAAAGAAACATTCAGGGAGAAAAAGTGGGTATATTGGAAAGAGCAAGGGTTGAAGTCACACGGATCTGGACCGAAATCCTGACTTCGTCATATACCAGCTAGGTGACCTTGGCAGATAATAACCTCTCGGAGCCTCACCATTTTTAGAATAAAATTCAGGAAAATTGAGGGTTGTTGTAAGGATTAAAGGAGGGTAACATATGTAAAGCCTCTCATATTAAATCAATGTTTGTGTCCTGTCTGCTTCCTTCTTTTTGGTCTGGGTATGATAAACTGATTTATGTCTTCCTGAGTGCCACTTCCCGTGCTTCCAGATTGGACACAGTATCATTCAGTGTTCTGTGGATATCATTCAGATTGTGCATGCCTTTGCACGAGGTTGGCAGGGAGCTGATAACTTATTCCAAGGACAGACGAAAAGTGACCAAGGAATATATGGTGGTATCTTCTATGCCATTAATTCCTGCCCTTGTGATTTCAGCAGGTCAGGTGGTGGCTTTATACTTGTGAAAATCCCACCACTATAATCTACCTTCTCATTTGTCATCAAATTTAATCCTTGCATCCAGTACCTAAATGCCCATGAAATATGTAAGCCAAAACAGCCCAGACAGCTGCAGCCAGGGAGGATATTAGTGCAGTA
Organism: Homo sapiens; assembly: GCF_000001405.40. Lineage (NCBI taxonomy): Eukaryota > Metazoa > Chordata > Mammalia > Primates > Hominidae > Homo > Homo sapiens. The sequence goes on from NC_000015.10 coordinate 91,459,053, forward strand.
TGAAAAATAAGCAAAGCATGAGTGATGGCAGGTAATACGCTACCTACAAATTGCCCTCTTCTTCTCATGTTCCAGTTTGGTAGGAAAAAAAGTACTTAGCCTATGCAATAAATGTCATTGGTTAATTGAAGAGTCTCCATTCACTGAGGTATAATCATGATTTTTTTTTCCCCCTATGAAATCTTCCAAACTATACTTTTGAAATCCCTCTTTCCCCAATGAGTTTCAGAAATGCTTAACACCACCTTAGCCCACATTGCATAACCTTTCACTCACTTGCAGTTTTTAGTCTTCTTTAGCTTCTTAAGGCATTTGTAAAATATCCCTCTTATGTGCTCTCCAAGTCCCCTTTTTTCCCTGCCCCAAGCTTGGGCAGAGGCTGGGGCTGTCTCCGGGACAGCATAAAGAAGGACGTCTGGTTAGTTTGCAGCCAGCCCTCAGCTTCCAGCTTCCCCAGCCCATGTGAACTAGGGATGGGATGGGGCAGAGAGAAGGCACAACTGTGGAGCCTTGTCCTTTTCTCATGGTTCCTACTGCTTCCCTAAGTAGGCTGACCTTTGATTTCTTTTCTGAAGCAGGCCTTTGTGTATTATCCTGATTTTACATCTAGTACTGGTCTGCTTGGCCTGCCACAACAAAACTTCACAGACTTGGTGGCTTAAACAAGGTAAATTTACTTTCTCACAGTTCCAGATCCTGGAAGTTCCAGATGAAAGAGTTGGCAGGGCTTTTCCTGAGACCTGCCTCCTTGACTTTTAGATAATCACCTTTTCTCTGTTTCTCTGCGTGCATTTTTCCCTGTGTGCACGCCCCTGGTATCTCTCTTGTGTCCTGATCCCCTCCTCTTATAAGGATACCAGTCAGATTAATTAGGGTCCATCCTAATGGACTGATTTTAACTTAATCACCTATTTAAAGACCCAATCTGCAAGTACTGTTACATTCCAAGGCACGAGGGGTTAGAACATCAACATATGAATTGTGAGGGGACACAGTTCAATCCATAACATATATATATTCATACATATATAATCATATATATGATATTGGCAACACACATAACTAGTTTTTTGCATATTTTACAGCTTATTAGAAACTTACATTTTTTTGCTTCTTGATACAACTGTAGGGAGTACTTACATTTTTCATGATCAACAGCTGAGAGAAATATCTAATATGATTAACAACAAAGTAATATTCAAAATAATATTGACAAGTGAACAGTGAGCAGAGAAATCAACAGTTAGAAATAAAATTTAACCAGATCAAAGTAAAACCCTGCGCTTAGGAGGGGAAATATTGCAAAATTCTACACACAGGATCCATTTTTCCAACCCATGATTCAGCACCTTTTATGTGCCAGGCACGCTTCTAGGGTTTGGAAGTACAGTGGCTAATGAGATTTTTTAAAAGGAGGGAGAGATAATAAATAAATAAATGTAAACTATAATTGCAGGTAGTACATATATGTTATTGCATATATATGCAATTGTAATGTAATTATAATTGCAGATAGTAACTTATATATGTAATGCAATTATAGTATAATTGTATTATAATTGCAAATAGTAACATGTATAATTGCATTATAATTGCAAGTCATAACATATATATGTAATGCAATTATTATATATATGTGTGCATTAAAACAAATGGAATGAGATCATGGAGTGAGGTGGGACTGAGTTTAGATGAAGGGGACAGAAGGTGGTAGTTGAGTGGAGGTCTGAGAGTGCAGGGGGCAAACCTGGCAAAAGCATCCCAGGAAGATGGATGGAAGGGCCAGGGCAGCCGGCAGAGACCAGCCTCTTATGTGGAACCAAAGGGAGGCTTCTACTGGAGAATGCAGTGAAGAAGGGAGGCTTGGTAAGGTAAGTGGGGCCAAATTACACAGGGCCTGGTAGATTACTTTAAGGAGTTTGTATTTTGAGTATAAAGGGAATATCTTGGAGGGCTTTGAGCAGATCAGTGACTTGATCTGACTCATATTTTTAAAGGACAATTATGGTAAGCCTGTGGGGACGTAATTGTGGATAGGCAAGAATAGAAATATTTAGGCAGGTTATTGTACGTTTTATTTCTTTATTCCTTTTAGAGACAGGGTCTTGCTCTGTCACCCAGGCTGGAGTGCAGTGGTGCCATCATAGCTCACTGGAGCCTCAAACTCCTGGGGTCAAGTGATCTTCTCACCTCAGTCTTTCAAGTAGCTGGGAATGCAGGTGCATGCCACTCTGCCCAGCAAATTGTTTAATTTTTTTGAGACACAGAGTCTTGCTATGTTGCCTAGGCTAGTCTCAAACCCCTGGCCTCAAGCAATCCTCTCTCGGCCTTCCAAAGTGCTGGGATCACAGGCATGAGCCACCATGCCCTGCTAGACATGTAACTCTTGACTTGACAAAACTGTTGTGTACTGAAATGTGTCTCCCCCAAATTTATATCTTGCAGACCTAGCCCCCAATGTGGTGTTTGGAGACAGGGCCTTTAAGGAGATAATTAAGGTTAAATGAGGTCATAAGGGTGGGGCCTAAATCTGATACGACTGGTGTCCTTAGAAGAAGAAGAGAGACCAAAGCTCTTGCTCTCTGCAGGCACACAGAGGAAAGGCCATGTGAGGGCATAGTGAGAAGGCAGCTGTCTGTAAGCCAGGAAGAGAGCCCTCACCTGCAACCAAATCAGCCAGCATTTTGATCAGGGACTTCCAGCCTCCGGAATGTGAGGAAATAAATGTCCATTGTTTAAGTCACCCAGTCTGTGGTATTTTTTTATGGCATCCCAAGCAGATGAATACAAAAACCTGACATAAAAAGCCCCTGGGAAAATTTGTTTTTATTAATATTTTTGTTTTCTTGGCCCACGTTGAATGCATGTGTCAGTGTGTGATGTGACAACCTGCATTGTTGGTGTTCGTCCCGTTCAGGAAGAGGGTAGTGACTCTGCATTCTGTACACATTAAACCATATGTGTACACATCTGTTACCACATTTCAAGAAAATGCATACAGATATGGCATGTGATAACTGTATCAGTAAGGAAGAGAGTTCTGGACATCGCATTGTGTGTAGAAAAGTTCAAGGAGCTGATAAAATAGGTAAAAAAGAGCTGGGGACAGATAGAAATGATGACCTCCAGAATTGAAAGGCCAATATCTTATCTAATTTCAAGATGAGGAATTTTTAGGTAGTCAGATTTTACCTGAATGTAAAAGACCACACTAGCAGAATTATTTAAACTGAAAAACATTAGAAAGCAGTAATCTCCCTTTTTCTGGAAGTAATAATCTCAGCCTAGAAAAATATTTGCATGGTACACAGTATAGTAGATTTCCTCTTCCTTGAGGGGACAGTCACCCCTCAACACATGTGTATGGAAAGACATTGACCAAAAAAGGGAAAAATAGATTGTTTCATGAGGCTGGGCACTAAGGTCAGATTATAGACATAACTGTAAATGTTTCAATATTATGTATGAAATCAAAGTACATCACCAGGCTCTGAATCTGCTGCATACTTCATTCATTTGTGCAGTTCTTGATTTGGTAAGTTGGCCCCAGGCAAACAAATATTCACATTATGGATTTTGATATTGCTTTTTATATTTGTGAAGTAATGAGTCAATTCCTTTTCCAATACTGAAATCATTTTAGAAACAGAATATAAATAAATGAACTTCAATAAACAAAATAACATTATTTTTATGGTTACAGATGTAATGCCTGTTCATGGTAGAAAATATAGAAAATTATGTGTGGAATAACAGTATTCACCCAGATTCCTAGCTGTAAGAGATAATCAAGGTTAACATTTTAGCATATTTAATGCCAATCTTTTTACTATGTATAATCATGTGTACATATTTTTTATTTTTTATTGTTTTTATTTAAAAAATAGACATGAGGTCTTGCTATATTGCTCAGGCTAGTCTCAAACCCCTGAGGCTCAAGCAAGCCACCTGTCTTGGCCTCCCAAAGTGCTGGGATTACAGGTATGAGCCATCACGGCTGGCCAACCATGTATATGTAAAACTGCAACTATATACACACACACACATCCCTTTAAAATTGAAAGTGGGTCATTTTCTTTTCTATAATACATTGTCAGCAATGCTGTATGCCATTAATGAATTTGAAAATGTGATGTTTTAATATCTGTGCCATATTCCGTGCATAAATTTGCCATAACTTACAATATAGTTTCACATTTGACCACTGAATATTTACAGTGTTGCCAGTTGGTATGGTTTGGATGTGTGTCCCTGCCCAAATCTCATATTGAAATATAATCCCCAGTGTTGGAGATGGGGCCTGGTGGGAGGTGATCGGATCAGGGGGGTGGATTTCTCACAGATGCTTTAGGACCATCCTCTTGGTGCTGTTCTCATGATAGTTCAGTGAATTCTCACTCGATCTGGTCGTTTGAAAGTGTGTGGCATCTCCCCCCTCGCTCTCTCTCTTGCTCCTGCTCCAGCCATGTGACCTGCGTGCTCCCTGCCTTCACCTGCCGCCATGATTGGAAGCTTTCTGAGGCCGCCTTAGAAGCCAAGTAGATGCCAACATCAAGCCTCTAATACAGCCTGCAGAACCGTGAGCCAATGAGAGCCTTTTTCTTTATAAATTACCCAGTGTCAGGTTTTTCTTTATAGGAATGGGAGAACAGAATAATATACCAATGTTTCACTGTTAGCATTAATACTACGATGAACACCCTTGTACAGATATCTTCGTATACATGTTTGATTATTTTCTTAAGATAATTACTAGAAATGGGACGGGCACGGTGGCTCACGCTTGTAATCCCAGCACTCTGAGAGGCCGAGGCGGGCAGATCACCTGATGTCAGGAGTTTGAGACCAGCCTGGCCAACATGGTGAAACCCCGTCTCTACTAAAAATACAAAAATTAGCCGGGCGTGGTGGCAGGGGGCTGTAATCCCAGGTACTGGGGAGGCTGAAGCAGGAGAATCGCTTGAACCTGGGAGGCAGAGGTTGCAGCGAGCTGAGATTGCGCCACTGTACTCTAGCCTGGGGGACAAGAGCGAGACTTTGTCTTAAAATAATAATAATAATAATAATAATAATTACTAGAAATGGAATTAATGGGTTAATGCCTGAATATTTGTAAAACTCTCGGTAGAAATTGTCTGTCAAACTGACCTCCAGAAAGATGATAGCACTTTCTACTCCCATGATTGGTATATAAGGCTGCCAGTTTCCAGTAGTTCATCAACTCTAAGCATGCTCTTTAAAAAGAAATTTTGTCTATTTGATAAGCAACAATGGACTTTCAGCTTCATTGTAATTTATTTGATTAGTAAGATTGATTTTGTCTTCTATATTTAAATAGCGATTAAATTTAAAGTGATTTAAGTAGTTTCTTTTAAGGATTGTTCATGTTCTTTGCTATTTTGTTAAATTCCCGTTTGTATTTTCTTGTTAATTTGTAAGTGTGCTTCATAATGTAAAGGAATAAATTCTTTGTAATATATATATATACACATTTTTAGTCTGCCACTTTTCTCTCGATCTATTTTTCATTACCACTAGCATGCAGAAGGTTTTACAAAAGTCATTTGGTTAAAACTGTACCTCTTTTATTTTGCAATTATTTTTCTATTAAATTTATGCTTAGAAAGTTCTTTCCAACTATAAAATTGGTTATCTAATTATCTACTTAGTTATCTAATATTCAGCTGTATTTTATTTTAATGTTTAACAGCATTTAAAGACTTTTTGCCTATTATGCCTTTTATATATAGTATGAGGTATGGATCTAACTTAATATTTTACCATATAGTTAACTAATTGTCCCACACTGTTCACTGGATGTCTTCCTCCTCAATTACCTGATATCAAAAGTGTATTAATTCATATATTGTTACTGTTAAAACTAAAATGCTTAGATAAGTTTAACAGAGTTTGAACAAAGACCAGTTTAAGAATTGGGCAGCTCTGAGAACCAGAACAGGTACTAAGAGCTCCAGTCTGTCATGTTGTCAGGAAGCGTTTATGGGCAGAAAACAGAATTGAAGATCAGAGACAAAGCTCGGTGTCTTGTCCTATTTGGATTAGTTGATCATCTCTTTTTTTCTTTTTTTGAGGCTGGTCTTGAACTCCTAGACTCAAGCAATCCTCCTGCCTTGGCCTCCCAAAGTACTGTGATTACAGGCATGAATAACCATGCCCAGTCAGCCACCTGTGATTGACTGAAGCTCAGCTGATGTGCTTGGCTGAGACTCAGTTATTTGTCATAAGAGTATATTCCTAGTTAGGCTTTCAGCTAGTTCACTTAGGTTGCAGTTTGTTACGTAAGAACTCGGTTATGGAGGTATCTTCAGGCCAAATTTAGTTTAGTGTGACGTTGCTGTACTTTTATAATGACTGGAGTTTTATAAATTAATTTTGAATGATATGTATACAAAATGGACAAGATGTTGATCCTTATGGAAGCTGGGCGATGGGTACATGGGAGTTTATCATACTACTCTCTTACCTTCCTTCTTCCTTGAAAATTTCTCGAATAAAATGATTTTACTATTCTAATTAAAAGAAGTCTTTACATTTGAACTCTTATTTCTTCCTCAAGTTCAGTATGTAGTCAGTTATCACCAAATCCTGACTGCTGTTGCACATCATCGCTGTCACTGATTTAGCTCAGGCAGCTCTGTCTTCCCTGGACCTCTTGTCTGCGGGGTCCCTGTTCCAGCTATCCTCACACTGCCTACCTCAGCATGCCTTTCTGTTTGCACTGGGCTCCTTTCTAGGCAAGCTGCATCATGCACCATAAATTCTGGGCTTTGCACACTAATTGCCCTTCCCTGAACGTGCTCTGCTGCATCTCACCTGAGTTCATTTGCATCTGGCTTTCTGCCTGGAAAGCACTCACCTTCCTTGTCCGTCTGGCAAACTCGTGTGGTCCCTTTGGTACTCACATGGAGCACCAGCCTAAGAAAGCCTTCTTTGGACCTCCCTGGCAACTCCAGCCGTGAGCACAGTTCTCTCCTTGGGGCTTCCATCATTGAACACACGCTAGCGTATTTGTTTATGTGTCTTATATAAAAGGGAACCAATTCTTGTTTATTTGTATAACCTCAGTGCCTAGCAAAGGGTCAATGAATGGTTGATGCGTAAATTAAAAGGAAAGGAAAATCTACCTTCTAAACCCACCTGAAAGAAACAATGATTCTAAATTAGAATTTAATTATGGCACTCTTTCTGTCTCTCATTTCTGAAGTATGGTTGTACCTCTAGGTTCTGTCCTAATGAGTCACAGATTTACCATGAAATGAATGGAGCCGGAGTCTCAGGGCTCCTCATTGCATACCCTCCTTCCCAGGCTGTGGGAGGAGGCCTGGTGATAGGTTCACATGGTTACCTGATATTGCAATATTTGCAAGATCCTTATCTCCTCCCTTCCACTTCTTTTCTTGTCAGAGAGTGGTGAAGTGAGCAAAAACACCTTTGGGATCCAGCTAAAGAAGGTTGAGCTGAGAATGTAGTCATATGAATTTAGTCAGTTCCATTTATATGGTTTACAGGCATTTCTGTGAATGGAGTTATTGTCAGCTGACCTGGTGTGGAGGAATTAGCACCACAGAGTGGAAGGCTACCTTTTCCCTTCTCTCTGCTGGGTCAACTGACGTCATGACACAAAGATGCAGGGCCAAAAGTCCTATGGTGATGTGAATGTGTCCCATGGCACCTGGTTCTGTAAGTATGTGACTACCAGAGAAGAAGCATGGCTTGTAATTTACAATGCTAAATTGCCTGTCCCTGGAAAACCCTCCCAGTCATCAGATGTGTACAATGTGACTACTCAAGACAGATCATCTTGCCTATCAGGGATACTTAAAGTACAATGTATACAATTATATTTTAAAAATTTTGATGGGAACTGAGACAAAGATTGTTTCTCAGAATTCCTGTATTTGCAGAAATATATACACAACCACCCGTGAGTGTCTCTGTGGGTGAAGTTGCAGATTTTGCCTGAGCTAGGCATTACTAAGAACAATCATGAAGTTGAAGGAAATGTTTGTAAATTATCAATAGCTAAACAAATTTCAATCAACCATGCTATAAAACTGAATTATCTTTCTATCAATAGAAAATACTATTATAAAATTCTTGTCCCGTGAAGAGGTTCCAGGAGTGTGTAGCCAAAAATATAGGAAAAAACTATTGTAAGTGATGTCAGGAAGTTTATCCTAAAAATATCATGCAATCTTTAAAAATCTTATGGTATAGATTGTACTTATCAACTGTTTGAAAATGTATAACTTGTTTCAATTTTAAGTAATTACTCACATGTGTACTTCATGTTGTATTTGCATGCATTCTTTTCTCTATTTATGTTCATTTTTTTTATTATTTATTATTTTTTGAGACAGAGTCTCGCTCTGTCGCCCAGGCTGGAGTGCAGTGGCATGATCTCGGCTCACTGCAACCTCCACATCCTTGGTTCAAGCGATTCTCCTGCCTCAGCCTCTCGAGTAGCTGGGATTATAGGCATGTGCCACAATGCCTGGCAAATTTTTGTATTTTTAGTGGAGGCAGGATATCGCCATGTTGGTCAGGCTGGCCTCAAACTCCTGACCTCATGTGGTCCACCTGCCTCAGCCTCCCAAAGTGCCGGGATTACAGGCTTGAACCACCATGCCTGGCCTGCAGGCATTCTTTTCTTAAAGATGCCTTCCCAAATTTTAAAAGCTCCAGGCCCCATAAGCTCTGGATCCTCCTCTAGTCCTTCCCCTCTGAGTCCTCAACAATCTGTGCCTTTCCCATTGTAACACCTTCTTGATGATTCTGAGGCCTGTTTTTCTTTTCCAGACCTTTGGTTTTGAGCTTGTGTGTGCTAGTTGGATGTTGTCTCCTGGTCATCCTCTCAGTTCCCTGCCCCATTAGAGCTTCTGGCTTCCCAGTTTGCCTCTTTGATATCATCACTCCCCTCTCTCTCCTCAACTTCTTTGACTGCGTGGCTCACATCTAATCCATCATATCCTCTCAGATATTCTCCTCAGGGTTTCTTCCATTTCACACACCTTTACATTCTTGCTGTCACCGCTGAAGCAGAAATCTCTATTGAGCCATGTGTAGGCTACTGTAGCAGCCTCCAGAACTGGATCTCTGCCCCACCCTCCTTTAAATAGTTCATTTGATTGGATTTTCCTTTATTCTGATGCACTAAACTATTAGGATTGAATAAAATCCATTTCCCCCATCCATTCAAATCTGCTCTATGATGCTAATTCTTCCACAGCCCTTGGTTTAAATCTTAAGCAGACCCCACAGCCTGTCCTTGTATTCTTAGATGATAAAAAAAAAATCTGATCACAAAAGTGTTAGTTCTGTGGTTAATACACAGGCCACTATAATAATTGTAATAATCAGGGTTCTCTAGAGAAACAGAAACAATAGGAAGACACACACACACACACACACACACACACACACACACAGAGAGATTTATTAGGTTGGTGCAAAAATAATTGTGTTTCTTGCCATTACTTTCAATGGTAAAAACTGCAATTTTACTTTTGCACCAACCTAATATTTTAAGGAATCAACTTGCACAATTGTGGAGGCTGGCAAGCCTGAAATTCACAGGGCAGGCCAGCGGGCCTGAGACCCAGAGCCCACAGGCAGTCTGGAGGCAGAATTCCCTGTTTTTGGGAGACCTCAGCCTTTTTCTCCTAAGGCCTTCAATGGAGTGAATGAGGCCATCCCATATTATGGAGGGTAATGTGGTTTACTTAAAGTTTACTGATTTAAATGTTAATCTCGTCCAAAATATACCTTCATAGCCACATTTAGACTGGTGTCTGACCAAGGTGCCTAGCCAAGTTGACAGATAAAATTCACCACCACGATCACTAAAACTTTGATCCTCATGCAAAGCTAGTTGCCCCCGTCTCCCACTGCATGGTGTCTACTTGCAGTAGGAGGGGGCTGAGTTACTACACCTTCTCCCCTGCTCACCAGGCTGCCTGTGATTCAGTGGGAGGGATGGGGGATTAGGGACAGAAATGCTTACTCAATTAGCACTTTCAGACTTGGCAGGTGGTTAAAACTGGCATCACAGCATGGTTCCCTCCTCAGCTCCTGGGCATCCAAGGCTTCCGATAGCTCCCCTTCCACTGGGGGCAGCTCTCCTGGGTGGGAGGAAGAAGACCCAGGCAGATGTCTCTCCATGTGGCCCACGTCTAGCCACAGGCAAGACACATATACATTTTTGCCCTGACAACCTCACATCTCAACCCCATTATAAAGGCTGACAGCTTTCTCCTAAAAATAATCTTCTCTATGTCTGACCTGTTAGCACCTCAGCAGGGGTGAGGCATGAAGAGTCACAGCCAAATTTTTGGTGAATTTCTTTGTAAGTCATACAAGATGCTCTCACCCCGCACTTTGGTTTATGGCATCTGTTATCAGACCTCAGCTGAAACAGAGACTATCATTCCTTGTTATGTTTTTAGAGGGTTCTAAGTAATATTTGGCTCACTTCACTCTCCTGTTCAAAGTCCTTCAAAAGCTCCCCACTGCTAGCAGAGTTCCATCTGAGTTCCTGTCCCTGATCTGAAATGTCCAGACATCCTCTTCCTCGACTCCCCTCAAACACCACTCACTCTGCTATTGTTCTTCCACTCCACCGATGAAAAGCCTTCTCTTTAAGATCCCACTGCCTCTGTGTCCCAGAACACCCTCAGTGGAAGCAATTTTTTTCATATCTTCCTTCAGAGCATATATTCTCATTAGCAGTCATTTGGCAGAGTGCCAGGGTGAGAGGGAGGGCCTGGGGTTCAGGGGACCTGGTGCTGCCCCGCCTGGGTATGTGACTTTGAGCAATAATTTGCTGTCTCTGAACTTCCACTTCTCTCATCTTTATAATGACGGAAATGAGGCTATCTGAATAATGTCACGTAGTCATTGTGAAGATTAAACAAGCAGACATGTAAACTTTGCTGCACACTGCCTGGCCTTGTGTGGATATGTGTATGGCTGCTTTCTTGGGTCTCTCTCTCTCTGATGAAGAGTCTGCGTGTGGGAGGGTAAGGGGGAGACCCGCCCTGTGGCTGAGAGTTCCGCCTACGCCGTCCCTCCTATAGCACAATGGCAACGCTTGTACACACTCAAACGAGGAACAAACACACACAGCTGAGCAACTGTGGCAACCTGGCCTGTTTCATCAACACCTTGGGTAACCTGCTAACCCTTCTGGGAATTATCTTTCTTTGTGAGTGGGCCTCTTTCTGAGAAATGTTCTGTGATATGTGGTCAGAGGTCCCTGAGGCAGGGGGCAGCTGTGCGCAGGGCCCCACCGCACCTTGACAAGGGGAAGGCTAAGTGGTACCTACTTGTAGGTTTTCAAAAATAAGTCAGTTTCTTTCTATTCTTCCTTTCACTCATAGCGTTTGGTGAAGAAAATGTTGAAATCTAACTATATCGTAATCTCCTTAAGGACTCAGTATATGGCATAACCCAGGCAGCCAACCATAGACTGGATGGTCACGCAGCCTCCAGTGACGTCCCCCAGTGTCATGTTTGCCCTGCTTACATGGTCACTGGACATTGCTGTTTGACCCAAGGATAAAGCCACATGGCTCATGGTGCCTTACATAATCCCTCTCCCCAGGCAACTAATATCCAATGCATCTCCATGTTCTGTTACTTTTACCTCGTGAATATTTCTCAAGTTTGTCTGCTTCTCTCTCTGTTGATTGACTTTTCAAGCCACCACCATCATCTCTCACCTGGGCTCCTGCAATCGCCTGTTAAGTGTCTCCTTGTAGACATTCCTGACCCATCCGTCTGTTTGCCAAACTATAGCTGGGATAGTCTTCTAAAAATAAATCTGGTCACCACGGAAAATGCTATGGAGGTTCCTCAAAAAATTAAATGTGGAGTTTCCCTATGATTCAGCAATTCCAATTCTGGGTAGATACCCCAAATAAATGAAGAAAGGACTCAAACAGGTATTTGTACACCCATGGTCATAGCAGCATGATTTACAATTGATAAAAAGTGGAAGCAACCCAAGTGTTCATTGATGGATGATAGACAAAATGTGATACACATAGACACACACACACACACACACACACAAATATTATTCAGTCATAAAATGGAAATTCTGACAACATGGATGAACCTTGAAGACATTACACTAAGTTAAATAAGCCAATCACAAAAGAAAAATAGGATTCTACTTCTATGAGGTACTTACTAGTCAAATTCTTAGAGACAGAAAGTAGAATGATGGTTGCCGGGGGTTGAGGGGAGAGAGAATTGAGAGCAATTGTTTAATAAGTAAGGACTTTCAGTGTGAGAGGAAGATAAAAAGCTCGAGAGATGGATGGTAGTGGTGGTTGCAGAAAAACGTGAATGTACTGAATGTCACTGAACCGAATGCTTAAAAATGGTAAATTTAATGCTCTGTATATTTTACCAAAAAAAAAAAACCCACAAAAATCTGATCATGTTACCGAAAATACTGTCAAAAAATTGCCTACTCTTCTTAGGATGAAATATGGACCGTTAGCTGAGTCAGCTAGCCTTTGTGCGATTGGACCTCTGCCCAGTCCTCCCACATCCTCTGGTATCATCTTGCCCCTCCATCTCGGGGCTCCAGCCCATTGCCTTTTTTGGTTTCCGAGGAATCTTGCCTACAGTCTTCCCTCTGCTTGGGATGTTCTTTACCTAGACACAGTGACTTGATAAACATGGTAATGTACTGCTGTACACAACTATGATCATGAAACTGTTCATCACGTAACTTCCTTTCCTTGAAAAGTTTGATCTGTCAAGCTTTTGTGTGGAGGACATTATTGTGTCTCTCTTCTACAGAAGAATAAATCTCAGAGTTCGACTTCTATCACATGAAATCACTGGCACTTTAATTTTATGTTTCTGCTGCTTCAGTAAATACATTTTCAAGAAATAAATTTTATGTTTATCTAAATATCTAACACTAAAATATAACACTGAATATTTCAGCAAAAAAGGTGAAAACAGCTGATTATTGATCAGGAAAATGTGAGTTAATCAGTGTTTTATGTTATGGATAGTTAATGACATAAAAGAACTGCTCCAAATTTTGGTTTCTGGACATTTATATAGGTATATAGATGTGATCTATAAGTCTATAAGTGTGATTTTTATAGATCTATAAATATAACCTATACAAATTTTTAAAATTGTTTTACAGTAAAATTGACTCTTTTAATGGATATAGAGTTCTATGAGTTTTAATATATCTATAGATGGGTGTAGTCACTACCACAATAGAATAGAGAACAGTTTTATCACTCCCCAAAATCTCACACTTCCCTTTTGTAGCTACATCCTCCCCCAACCCCTAACACCTGGCAACCACTGATCTGTTTCCTATCACCGTACTTTTGACTATTCTAAGATGTTATATCAGTGGAATCAAAATCAAACAGTATGTAATCTTTTAAGACTGCCTTTGTTTACTCAGCGTAATGAAATACTTAACTAGGTTGTTCCATTTATCAGTAGCCCTTTTCTCTGAAGGACATTTGAGTTCTTTCCAAGTTTGCAATTATGAATAGGGCCACAATAAACATCCATGTACAGGAGTGTGTGGAAATATAAGTTTCGTTTCTCTAGGGTAAGTCCCCATGAGTGAAATTGCTGGGTCATGTAGTAAGTGCATGTGTGGCTTTATAAGAAACTGCTATTTTTCTTCAGAGTGGTTGTACCATCTTGCATTCCCACCAGCAATATATGAGAGTTCATGTTCTGCACCCTCAGTAGCACTTGATATTGTCAGATTAAAAAAAAAATTCAGACATTTTAATAGGCATGATGTGATAGCCGATCATGGTTTTAATCTACATTATCCTACTGGTAAATGATGCTGAGCATTTTCTCGTGTGCTTATTTCTCATCCTTATCTCCCCTTGGATAAAGTGTCTGCTTAATTCTTTCATCTGTGTTTTAAACTGTGTTGTTTTCTTGATATGGTTTACCTGTGTTCCCACCCAGATCTCATCTTGAATTGTAATCCCCGTAATCCCCATGTGTCAAGGAAGAGACCCTGTGGGAGGTGATTAGGTCATGGGGGTGGTTTCCCCCATGTTGTTCTCATGATCCTGAGTGAATTTTCATGAGATCTGCTCGTTTTATAAATGGTAATTTTTCCTGTGTTCTCCCAGGCTTGCCCTCTCTCACCTGCTGCCATGTAAGATGTGCCTGCTTCACCTTCCGCCATGATTGTCAGTTTCCTGAGGCCTCCCCAGCCATGTGGAACTGTAAGTTCTAAATTACCCTTTATAAATTACCCAGTCTCGGGTAGTATCTTTATAGCAGTGTGAGAACAGACTAATACACTTACTATTGAGTTTTTAGAGTTTTTCTTTTTTAATATATTCTGAATATGAGCTCTTTGTTGGTTGTGTGGTTTGGAAATATTTTCTTCCATTGTATAGGTAATCTTTTCATTCTTTTTTTTTTTTTGATGGATTCTCACTCTGTCGCCCAGGCTGAAGTGAACTGGCGCGATCTTGGCTCACTGCAAGCTTCACCTCCTGGGTTCACGCCATTCTCTTGCCTCAGCCTCCCAAGTAGCTGGGACTACAGGCACCCACCACCACGCCTGGCTAATTTTTTTGTATTTTAAGTAGAGACGGGGTTTCACCGTGTTAGCCAGGATGGTCTCGATCTCCTGACCTCGTGATCCCCCCGCCTCGGCCTCCCAAAGTGCTGGATTACAGGCGTGAGCCACCACTCCCTGCTGGTAATCTTTTCATTCTTTTAATGGCATCTTAGAGAAAAAAATGTTTACCTTTGATAAAATCCAATCTGTTAATTATTTCTCTTCTATAGACTGTGCTTTTGGTATCATGTCTAAGAACTCTTTGCGTAACATCAGATCATGAAGATTTCTCCTATGTTTTCTTCTAAATGTTTTGTTTTATATTTAGATTATAAACCACTTTCAATTCATTTTCGTTTAAGGGTTTTGGCAGAGGTTCAGTTTTTTGCATAGGAATGTTTGATGATTTCAACATCGTTTGTTGAAAACAGTATCCTTGATCCATTGAATTGCCTTTGCACATTCCTTAAAAATCTATTGGGCATGTTTATATGGGTCTGTTTCTGTACTGTTTATTATTTTCCATTGATGTATGAGTCTGTACTGTAGACACAAACATGTCACTATAGATTTATAGTTACTGTAGATTTATAGTAATTCTTGAAATAACATAGTGTGAGTTCTCCAATTCTGCTCTTTATTTTCAGCATTGTTTTGGCTACTCTCCTTCCTTCTTCTGCCTTTCTGTGTAAATTATAGAATCAGCATATCTGTGTCTACAAAAATTTCTATTGGAATTCTGAGTGCAATTGCAATAAAACTGGAGGTTAATTTTTTAAATGACATTTCTACTATACTAAATCTTCCTATCTAGCAACACAGCATGTCTCTTCCTTTATTTATATCTTTGATTTCTTTCAGTTGGGTTTTATAGTTTTCCTGTAAGGATTCTGCACATCTTGTTATATTTACACAAAATATCAACATATTTTTATATTTTATGCTGTTGTAAATGTTTTATTTTAAATTTCAGTTTCTAATTGTTCAGTGATAGTATATAGAAATACAATGAATTTTGTATGTTGATCTTACATCTTGCAAACTTCCTGAAATTTCTTATTAATTTAAGAAACTTTGGCTTCATTTCTCTTTCTTGCTTAATTGCACTAAGATTTCCAGTATGAGGTTAAATAGAAGTAGTAACAGTTGACATCCTTGCCTTGTACCTCATCTTAGGGAGAAGCATTAAGACTTTCACTATTAAGTATGATGTTAGCTGACATGCTCTTTACCAGGTTAAGGAAGTGCTGTTCTATTCCTAGTTTTTTGAGTTAAAAAAATTTGCAAACAGATGTTGAAGTTTGTAATTTTCCTTTTCTTTCTCTGCATCAATTGATATGATCATGTGTTTTATCTCCTATAGTCTCTTAATATGGTGAATAACATTTACTGATGTTTGAATATTGAACTATTAATACAATTGTAGTCACAGGACAAAGTCTATTTAGTTATGGTGTATTAGTATTTGTTATATATTTAATCATGTGTATTATATATTTAATTTGATATTTTATTGAAGATGTTTGCATTTATATTCATCAGGAATATTTGTCTGAAATTTTCTTATATTGCCTTTATTTGGCTTGGGTATCCAGGTAATACTGACATTATAAAATGGATGGGGAGGAATGTTCTCATTTCTTCTCTTTTCTGGAGGTGATTATGTAGAATTGATGTCAATTCTTCAAATATTTGATAGAATTTAGCTGCAAAAGCAAACAGGCCTGGAGATTTCTTCTTTGGATAGCTTTTTATCTAAGAATTCACTTCATTTAATAGATTTGGGATAATTCAGTTTATTTGTTGCCTGTTGGGTGAGTTTTGGTAGTTTGTGGCTTTCAAAGAATCCATGCGTTTTATCTGAGTTATTGAATTTATGTGCATAGAGTTGTTTGTACTATACCCTTGTTATCCTTTTTAACGTATATGGAGTCTGCAGTGATAATCTCTTGTGTTTTCTCTCATTTTCTGTTTGTCAGTCTGGATTGAGGTTTATCAGTCTTATTCATCTTTTCGAGAATTAGCTTTTGGTTTCATTAAATTTTTTTATTGATTTTGCATTTTTTATTACATTGATTACTGCTTTTATTTTTATTATTTCCATTTGCTTTTAGCTTATTTTGTTTTTTTTTTAGTTTATCAACTTAGAACATTTCTTTTTTAAAAAAATTAGCAGTTAATTCTGTAAATTTTTCTCCAAGCATTGTTTTGTTTGAATCTCACAAATTTTAATATTTTGTATTTTTATTTCATTCAGTTCAAAATATTTTCTAATTTCCCTGGAGTCTTCTTTTTGGCCCATAGATTATTTAAGCATATTATTTAATTTCCAAGTGTTTGAAAATTTTTCAGTTATATTTCTCTTAGTAATTTCTAGTTTAATTCTATTGTGTTCAATAGTCAAACGGTCAAATTCTTTTGTTAACATTTGTCTTATGATACAATAATAGTCCACCTTGGGAAATGTTTCGTGTGTACTTGAAAACACTGTGTATTATGCTGTTGTTGGGTGGGATGTTCTATAAATTTTAGTTAGATGCAGTTAGTTTATGACAATGTTCAGTTGTCTGTATTCATGATGATTTTCACTACTTGTTTGACTTATGTCTGAAGAAGGAGTGTTGAAGTCTTCCATTATAACTGTGGCTTCATTCTTTTCCTTCAGGTCTATTGGTTTTTGCTTCACTTAGCTTGAGGCTTTGTTGTTAAGTGCATATACATTTAGGATTATTAGGAGTTCTTGATGAATTGACTCTTTTACCATTATGTTATGTTCTGTTTATCCCTGGTAATTTTCCTTGTTCTGAAATCTACTTCATCTGATATTAATGTAGACACTCCACTTTTCTTTTGATTAATGTACACATTTTATATCTTAGTCCTTCCTTTCACTTTTAACCCACCTATATAAAAAGGGTTTCTTAAAGGGAGTACCTGTATATATTTGGGTTTATTTTTAATCATTCTGACATTTTAAATCTATTATTTGTTATGTTTAGACCATCTAATTTGGGGAACATGGTTATAATAGCTGCTTTGAAGTCTGTTAACTCTAACTTTTATGTAACCTTAGAGTTGGTGTCTGTTAATTATATTTTTTATTGTGATGAGATATTCCTGATTATTTGTATGCCAATTAATTTTGGATTATATTCTGGACATGATGAGACCCTGGGTCTTATTTAAATGCTAAAGAGAATGTTAACTTTGTAATTCTTGTTGCTGTTGTTTTGGCATGCAATCACCCTGATTACATTTGGTCTGCAAATTCTGACCTGCCTTCTCTGAGTCTGGCATAATTCCATTTTCAAAGTATTTTCACTGTTGCTGAGAACAGTCCCAGTGGCTAGTCTGTGGCCCCGTAGCTCAATTCTCAAAGCCTGTGATATGCTGATAAGGTTCAGATTGACAAATGCACAGGTAGGAGGCGCACTCAGGAGTTCATACACAACTTTATGGCGTCACGCTCTTGATCCCTGTCCTCTCTGTGATTTCACCAATGTACACTTATTCCCTGCGTCCTCTCTTCTCAGTTCTCTGGCTAGAAATCTAGAGTTCTATTTTCCCCAATATCATGCAAACTTACTGCAACTGTGCCTACGTCTAGGACCAAGTGACAGGAGGAGACAGAGGCAAAACACATATAGCAATGTGTATCCACTGAAAATTCAAAGGACCACAGTTCTTTTTGATAAGGGAGAAGAGTTCCCTTTCCTCAGAGTTTTAGGTGCACGACTGCTGTCATTGCTGTCAATGCTGCTGCCAGTGCCACTGGAGTGTTGCTTGGGCATCGCTGTGGGAGACAAGAACAAGAGAAGTCTTCTCCCTGTGGCCTTTCTGTCCACACTTGGTGTGGATTTCTGGGCTTCAGGATGCCTTTGATTTCAGGATGGATGATACTGAAGGGAAAAAATGGTAAACTCACCACTGGTTCAGGCAGACTTCAAAGTCTGTTCTCTTTCTCCATCCACCTGTTATCATCCATGTGTTACAGTCATCAGATAGTTCTTTCTTGCATTCTATTCAAGCATTATAGGTGCGTTCAGTGAGAGAGACAGGGTGGTGTGTCTTGAATCCATCTTCTCTACAACCACAACCATAGCTTGCATTTTAAAGATTTTTTTGTAATAAGTACAAAATGAATGCCTTTTCATTGTAGATAATACAAAATATGCAGATAAGAAGAAAGTAAAAATCACCCATAATACTAACATTTCCGCATCACTTCTGTTGATTTGTGTTTTAAGCAAAATTAGATCATGTAGTCCATGTGGCTTTGTATTTTTTTTTTTCTTTTCACTTAGTGGACTTATTTTCATGGTAATATACATTCTTCTCCAAGATCACTTTTCAAAATTGCACAAAAAAGGCAAACATCCCTTCATATGGATGTACCCTAATTTTTTTTTTTTTTTTTTTTTTTTGAGACGGAGTCTCGCTTTGTTGCCCAGGCTGGAGTGCAGTGGCGCGATCTCGGCTTACTGCAGTCTCCGCCTCCCGGGTTCACGCCATTCTCCTGCCTCAGCCTCTGGAGTAGCTGGGACTACAGGCGCCCGCCACCACGCCCGGCTAATTTTTTTTTGTATTTTTAGTAGAGACGGGGTTTCACTGTGTTAGCCAGGATGGTCTCGATCTCCTGACCACGTGATCCGCCCACCTCGGCCTCCCAAAGTGCTGGGATTACAGGTGTGAGCCACCGCGCCCGGCTGGGATGTACCCTAATTTTTTAAAACCAAGTTCTTGTCATTGAACATCCAAGTTGCACAGCTTTTATACTGGTTGCAACCAAGGGGTAAGTAGCTGAAGAAGTCGCAACAGGAGTTAAACTCTCTTAAATACTCTTTAGGCCCCATTCGAATTTTTAAAACAAAAATATGCTATTTTACAACCCCGCCCTAACCGCAGTTAGAAAAATTTATCCTCTGGAAACTACTATAAAGTGCAATGGCCGTGATTCTCAGAAAACTGGTTAGATAGGACCCATGCTTCAACACAGGAACTGACATCTAAGCACAGAAGTTGGATGCCTGAAAGAAAAGCAGACAGTGTTGTGTCCTTAAAAATAAATGCATTGCCATTATTTTTATGTGTCTCTGTGCCTCAGCCCCTGCCGCACACGATAAAGATGCAACTGTGTCTGTACTATAGCGATAAGACGCCATGGGGAAGTGCTTGCAGAGGCTGTGTTTTTTTTTTTTAAAAAAGCCACAAAGAACTCCTTAATTAAGTCTTCCTTTCACCCTTATTAAAATTCGGTGAAGATTACCATGGAATTTGTCCTCTATCTCACAAACAAATCATAACAATTTCATAAGACTTCCTCAGGCTGCCTGGAGTATAGCTTATTGTTTCACTAGTGTTTTATAAATAGAAAAATGTATATGAAATCCTCCAGCACACCCTTAGAAAGGACTTAGCTCAGCCTGTCTGTCGTGATGACACTGTCAGAGAACTGGCTGGAAGCTGGTGACTTAATAATGCAAACTAAGGCTTAAAGAATACACACACATACACACATATGTACCTAAGTGTTTGTGTGTGTGTGTGTGGATGTATGTGCTCATATGACAATAACCTCATATATGGTATTCCGCTAGATGGCAACTTGAAATCATCTCAGTTGTTTTAAGGCTTATAGAAAACTCCAAGAATACATTGTAGAATAAGCTATGATATCTAAGCATAAAACAATGGGGAAAAATAAGAAACTTTAAAATAAGAATTGAAGGTCTCACAAAAAATACGAAACACTCTATAACATTAATGCATGCAAAACCTGATGTTCTGGAAATAAACAGGCCTAGAGTTGAGGTTTGAGTATAATACACACGATCATCATAATAACTAACATTCAAGGAGCACTTAGTGTGGACTGAACTCTTTGCTAACCACTTTCTCTTTCATGCCTTTAACAGTTTAAGATTACTCTATTATTTTTACAGCAAAGACACAGAGGCTTTTAGCACTATTGCATGACAAGTCCCAAATCCCACCCATGTTAAGTTCTGGGTTCAGGATATGAACCTGGGCCTCCCTGACCTCCGGGCCTTATTTTCAACCACCTTTCCTTTTCTTAGCTTCCTTGTTCTTGGCTCAGAATTCCCCCTGCCTCTATGTTTATTTGGTCTCACATCAGTTTTGGTGTTTGGATTTCATTACAGTTATGCCTTATTTGGAGAGCATCTTTTAAGGAGTGACAATATTTTTTTAAAAAGGTAATTTTTTAAAAAATTTTCTTCCAATAGATATTGGGACAGTTTCAGCAAGTAAAACAGCTCTGCATAGGTGATAGGGCTAAAGGAAAATGTTTTCTATGACAAGTGTTTGTTATCTTTACCTCTTCTCTGCACAATGAAGAGAATCCTGCTTGGACCTCAAGCCAGGGGCCCTCTGCAGCTGCCACCTTAGATGCTGGGCCTCACAGTCTGGTGTCTGGACTCTGGCTGCAGTAACTGGAGCAATGGGGAGGTAAAGACAAAACTGGAAATGTGAGGGTGAGCGTTGCTTTGGAAAGAACAGAAATTATCTGTGGGGAAAAACAATAAAGATGGGAAGAAAGCTGCAAGAGGCCAAAAACAAGGCACTGGTGGGCTGGGGGGGGATTTGGGGAGATCATGGGAAAAGGGGTGGGGAAACCTTGGGGTCACTGAGCCAGGAGACAAAGATGGGGAGGAAGAGGCAAGGGGAAGAGAGTAGTGAGAGGCACTGCTGTGGTTATTCATTGCATCCCCTTTCAGATTCACCTGAAAATGGGAGACATGTCTGGCCATGTGTTAATATTTTTCATGGCTGGTCTGCGAGAGTGACTCCAGTCCAAGCCTGGGCTGCACGGGCCCCTGTTCTAAGTGGTCATTCAAGCTACTTTTTAAATATGTGTTTTCATTTGTACAGTTTTTTAGTTTCATTTGAGATTGTTATCTCTTTTATTGGATTCTAAAATCTTAGTTGTCAGCATAAACTCTCCCACGGGGAGCCCTGTAGTCTTAATGAACGGAAATTTCTGTGTAAGCAGGAGACAGAAGGCATGGGTGAGATTAATACTATAGGGATCATGCTTTATGTTTTACATGCTTTTCTTGAAAGTAGAGTGGTTACCTAAAATGATTTCTAGAACATTGCTGGTATACAGTATATTTAAAATTAATAAAAGTAAACAGCTGTACTGAAATGGAATAATTATCACATGCAACAGAATTGGCAAACTCCCTAATATATTTTATGCTAATTGTTGATCAGCTACTATGTACCAGGCATCAGGCTTCATGCCTACAATTCAATGATCAATTTATGAAACAGTTTCTGCTCTTAGGCTCACAGTCTGGTGGTGTAACAACCAGCATGCAGCTCGGCTTACTTGGTCCTAAAATAACTGTGCACAGCACAGTTTATCCTGGTCTATGGTGAGGGTTCCACTCCTAATAAACTCCACAACTGTGACATTTATAACAAAAGTTTTGGTAAAGAACAAGGGTTGGGATGCAGTTGCAGACTTGCAAATACAAATGACTTTTCCCAAAGGAATTTCAGTATGAAAAGAGGTCTTGCAGCCATAACTCCAGCATTACAAACCTAAGCACCATCAAGCAAATACAACCTTTGCAAATTTGCCATCAAGAAAATAAACCCTAAGGGCCTGAAAGAAGGCCCATCGCAATCTGGTCCTTTCCTACCATTGAAACAATGCCTTGTTTCTTACTATTCCTCTCAGACACCTCACCCTCCAGATGACTGAAGCATCTCATTCCTTGTGTAACTGATTGCATTATGATTTCACCTCCCCTAGAAGTGAACTGTGTAAGGACAAAGTGTTTAATATATATGTTTACTGCTATAATCTTACCACTTAGAACAGCACCAAGTGCATAGTAAACATTCAATGAATATGTAATAAATAGTCAATAAATCAATGAATTCAAGTCTCAGTTTAAATATTACCTCCTTGATGAAGCTACTTGTGACCACCCCTGAGCAAGAAAGTTGTTCCTTACTTTGTTTTCCCATTGCCTCTACATATACCTGAGGTATAGCTATGTCCACCCAGATGCAGTAATACACTAAATTTTATGTAACTGCATGTTAAGTCTGCTCAGGCTGTGTAACAAAACACAGACTGGGTGGCTTAAGCATCAGGCAGTTTATTTTCTCACAGTTCTAGAGGCTGGAAGTCCAAGACCAAGGTGCTCATGTAGTTGGGTTCTTGGTGAGGGCCTTCCTCCTGGCTTGCAGAGCACCATCTCCTTGGCATGTGCTCACACGATATGGGAGAGAGAGAGCTTTGGTCTCTTCTGCCTCTCATAAGGACACTAACCTCATCACGCGGGCCCTACTCTCACGACATCATCTCAACCTAATCACCTCCCAAAGACCCCACATTCAAATATCATCACTTTGGGGGTTAGGGCTACAACAAATGAATTTTGGGAGGAGTCACATTCAGTTCATAACAACCTGTTTCCACCACCATCTGGCTAATTCCTCATTTGTGGTGAATGTTTCTCATTCATCTTTGAATCCTGAGCAGCTACACCGAGATGCTGCCCAAATAATATTTGAGTACTTACATAAGTATAACCTCATTGTTGCTTACAAATGTTCAAATAAATATGATCTCATTTTCATAGCTGTTCAAATAGATGTGGTTTCATCTATCCTATAGATCAAATGCCGTGAGAAAATGTAAAAGGAAGAAATATTTAATTTTTTAGATTTTTTATTTCAATAACTTTAGGGGTACAAGTGATTTTTGGTTATGTCAGTGAATTGTTTAGTGGTGAAATCTGGGATTTTAGTGTACCCATCACCTGAGTAGTGTACATTGTACTCAAAAGGTAGTTTTTCATTCCTCGCCTCCCTCCCATCCTCCCCACTTCTGAGTCTCCAATGTCCATTATACCGCTCTGTGTGCCTTTGTGTACCCATGGCTTAGCACCCACTTATAAGTGAGAACATATGGTATTTCGTTTTCCATTCCTGGGTTAATTCACTTAGAATAATGGCCTCCATTATGTAACAAACCTATATGTCCTGCACTTGTATTCCAGACTTAAAGTAAAATAAATTTTAAAAATGCCAAATAGAAACAACACCAGACTTAGATAAGGAGAGACTTTATTTGGAAAGATGATTGCAATAAGGAGAACACTTTGACCTCAGGATTGGCAAGTGTCTTAAAATCAAACAGAAAAAAGGTTTTTTTTGTTTTGTTTTGTTATGTTTTTTTGTATATAGGGAAGAGTAAGCAGAGATGACAGGGACTATGTGGTGGAGGAGGGCAAGCAGGCAGGTGAACAGGTGGTGAAATCAGGTACTTCAACAAGAAATGTTTTGTTTGTGGTTAGCCAGTTCTCAGAAGGAGCTTTTAAGGGAGGATGTTTCACACCTTAGTGCTTTAGGGCTTGCTGAAACTTAGGGGCAAGCCGAAGTTTAGGGGCCCATGGGGAGGAGAGAAGCCTGATTAAAATTTGGTCAATGAAAGTTCTGTGGATAAGTAATGGGTGATTGTGAGCACTTGGTCAAAAAGCATGGTTATTTTTCATGAAGACAATTGTGTGTTTATATGCAATGAGTTTGTTATTTTGTGGATTAAATATTTTTTAAATGTCAAAAAAATGAATAATTGCCTCCAGTTCTATTCTAGTTGTTACAAAAGATATTATTTCATTCTTTTTATGGCTGAGAAGTATTTCATAGTCTATGCATCTACCTTTATACCAATAGCATACTCTTTTGATTACTATAGCCTTACAATATAATTTGAAGTCAGCTAATATAATGCCTCCAGATTTCTTATTTTTGCTTAGGATTGCTTTGGCTATTTGTGCTCTTTTTGGTTTCACATGAATTTTATGATTAATTTTTCTAATTCTGTGAAAATCGACATTGGTATTTTGATAGGAATTGCACTGAATCTGTAAATTGTTTTGGGAAGTATGGTCATTTTCATGATATTAATTCTTTCAGTCCATGAGCATGGGACATATTTCCATTTGCTTGTGTCATCCGTTATTTCTCTCAGCAGTATTTTATAGTTCTTTCACCTACTTGGTTAAGTATATTCTTAGGAATTTTATTTTCTTGTGGCTATTGTAAAAGGGATTGAGTTTTTGATTTGATTCTCAGCTGGGTCATTGTTGGTGTATAGCAGTGCTACTGATTTGTGTACGTTGATTTTGTAACTTGAGACTTTGCTAAATTCATTTATCAAATCTAGGAGTCATGTGGAGGAGTCACTAGGGTTTTTAGGTATAAGATCATATCATTGGCAGAGATAGTTTGACTCCCTCTTTTCCAATTTGGATGCCCTTTATTTCTTTGGCCTGATTGCTCTGGCTAGGACTTCCAGGAAGAAATGTTCAGATTTTGATTTGAGGCTGAAAACATGTAATGTTTTGCTGTACACATAAAATGCTCAAGAAGTGAGTTTGAATTTGGCATGCTACAAATTCCACTGGCCAGATTTCTGCAGCCCTCTTAAGGCCCTTGGCATCTTACATGCTCTACATTTTATAAGTTCAACTTTACAAAGTCCTGAGAATGTTCACTGGTGACATTATCTCTAATCAGTTTTGAGACCTGAAGCCCAGAGAAGCTGAGTCAGTGGCCCAAGAGGCACAGAGGGATTTAATGGACAGGTGGAGATTAGAAGGGATAATTCTAAGTGTTTAATCCTCTCTTCTGTTGTCTGAGGCTCCAGAGAGCTAAGGACAGCTTGGAGAAGGGCAGAGAAGCAGGGAGAGGCAGTGGAAGCCTCACTGCTATGCCATCTTCTAGGTGGGAATCCCCCAGTGAATAGGCAATGCAGGGGATGCTGCTGGAGTCCTGGGTTGCAGGTGGAGTGAAAGTAAATGTGTTCTTAGCCAAGAGACTCAAATGAGCGAGGAGACAGCAACCAATTCAGGAACAAGCATCACTGAAACAATCTGAACGTCGACCTTTCACATAAGAGTACCAGTCTCCAGGGAAGTGGCTACGCCGTCTGGGGTATATACCCTGGGGTTCACTGTCGCACGCTGAGAAAGAATTCAGGACACAGACACATGTGGGTGGGTTAAGGAGTGGAAAGTTTAATAGAAGAAAGGAGAGAGGAGAGCATCTCCTTGAGAGAGAGACAGAGAGACATCTGAAAAAGGGGGGAGGCAGTGAACCACAGCAGATTTTGTAGGCAGGCTGCAGAAGGTGGTGTCTGATTTACAGATTGGTTCGGTCAGGTATGGCATCTAGTCAGGAAGGCTTGTTGCCTCACCCTAATCTAATGCAAATGGGCTTTCCGGTTGATGGGGACATCTTGTCTGCTCCTTTACAGTACACGTGGCTGGGAGAGAAGGGACGGTGGAGCCCCCATTTTGAAAATGTCTGGTCCTCAGTTTCTGCCGGCATTCACCCGTGCAAGCTCCCAGCTTGCAGGCTGCTCTTTGTTAGAAAATGATTTGGGGCTGCTTTTCATTAAAAAGAAAAGCCTTACTGAGGACTCCCATTCCCTTGCTATCTGCCTAAGTAATTTCTTCTTAACTCCTATATCATCACCAGGAGGCCAAATCACAAGAGGATCTTTAATGGATGTGAACAATACGGGGCTTGGGACCTCTGACCATGCCCAGTCAAGACACGATAGACAGCATGCTCTTTGCTCTTGAGGAGTAATGATCAATTCTTACATATATACAGCACCTCAGTACTCACCAAGACCTTCTTCCACATCGTTCATTTATCCTCACCATTGCCCAGCCACAGAGGCATCACCACTCTCACTAAATGAGGAAGCAGAGTGAGAAAGGTTGAGTGATTTGAGGAAGAGAACACAAGTAGAGAGGTAGGTGTTGAACCCAGACTTTCTGGCTCATGGTTCCGTGGGCTGGACTTAGCACGGGGATGTGCTAAGCTTCAACGTGCTGGGCCGTGCAAGATGCTATTATATTCGTCTGACTTGAAACAGGAGAGGGCTGGGGCCTGTGGCTCACAAAATCATTCACTGAAATTATAATGTGGTATGTGCTGATCACCAGGGAAGCTCCTGAAAGCACTACTCCCCTAGATGGGTGCTTTAGTGACCTCAGTTTACCCAGGATGTCAGAGGCTCCCCATGGCTTTTTGCCATGAAAAACAGAGGCCACCTGCTGTGGTGTCGCTTTGTCTTTACAGCAGAGTGATGATGAGCAATGAGAGGTGAGCCCACAGTTCATATGCGGCCCTTCTGGCTTTGAGATGGGTTGTGCTCTAATTTCAGAATTTCAGTATGAAATCGGAAAGCTGCTTCCGTGTTGCTACTTCTCAAACAACACCAGATAGTAACATTGTAGTGGCCAGAAAGCAGTGCCAATTTTTTTATTGACATTTTTCTAAGTTGTAAGAAAAAAAATAGTTTAAAATGTGTACATATATTTTCAGAGAAATTCAGAGAATTTTCCAGCCTGGGAGTCACTTCTCTGGGAGAGAAATTCAGGATGGACCTTGGGGTTCAAGTTGGGTTACTGAATCTATTCTTCGGATGGTGAGATTGACAGAGAGGGGAGTTCTAGGCACAGCCTGTGTTTTGTTGTTGTTGTGGTTGTTGTTGTTGTTGTTTGTTTTTTTTGTGTGTGTGTTTTTTTAAGACAAAACTGGCCAGGGAAGGTGGCTTACACCTGTAATCCCAACACTCTGGGAAGCTGAGGCAGGAGAACCACTTGAGCCCAGGAGTTCGAGAGCAGACTGACCAACAGGATAAAACCTCATCTCTACAAAAAATACAAAAAAGCTAGCTGGGTGTGGTGGCACACACTTGTAGTCCCAGCTACTTGGGAGGCTGAGGTGGGAGGATCACCTGAGCCCAGGAGGTGGAGGCTATAGTGAGCTGTGATTACACCACTGCACTCCAGCGTGGGTGACAGATTGAGACCTTGTCTCAAATAAAACAACAAACCCTCTGGATCCCTTGATGTTAGCTTAATGGCATTTTTTGGGGGAAGTTACTCTGCGTGTGTGTGTGTGTGTGTGTGTGTGTGTGTGTGTGTAACAAAAGAACCATATGGCAAGAGCAAGCCTACCATGATGTGGAGCTACCATAGTTAAACTTGATTTTGAAGGAGAGACCAGTTTTCTCTTTTATTTCCATAGCCAGAGAGTGCAGTGGCAGACCAGCAGTGCAGGGGAAGCCCTGGCCCCTGAAGGCCTTTGTTTCAGGCCTGACCTCTGGGTCCTTAATGTTTTGTATGTGCCTGTGTCCAGGTCACCAGAGGTCAGTGGTTCTTCGACTGTAGCATGGTGTGCATCAGAATTACTTGGGGGCCTTGATGAAACAGGTGACTGGGCTCTACCAGGTAATTTCTGACTCAGTAGGTCTTGGAATGGGGGTCAGGAAATTGTATTTGGAAGAAGCTTGCAGGTGGTGGTGATGCTGCTGGCCAGGGGGCTGCTTGTGGAGAACCACTGACTTAGACTGTTAACCAGGGAACAAGAATGGCACCAGAGTGGTTGTATTACCTGTTTCAAGAAGGGCACTAGTTGACAGTGACAGCAACCAGAGCTGAAAATCAATCAACTCCTGGGCAGGTGGCACAGGTGTCTAGTTTCCTCTTTTAAAGGTCATAGGACTTAGGATGGAGAAAGGCTGCAGGACTGAGAGGTATTAGGTTGGTGCAAAAGTAATTGTACTTTTGGACTGTGAATTTTAAATCATTATAACTAGGCTCAAACACATCTTTATTAATCAAAATAGGAACCATTACAGTCAACACATTTTTGCCAAAGAGAAGTATGTTTGTTTATTCCTGTAGCATAAAAATCTATGCTTTGGGATTTGACCAACTCTTGGAAAGCATTTTCTGCATCCTGCTGGTTGTGGAAGCATTTTCCCTGCAAAAAGTTGTTGAGATGCTTGAAGAAGTGGTAGTTGGTTGGCGAGAGGTCAGGTGATATGGTGGATGAGGCAAAACTTTGTAGCCCAATTCATTCAAGTTTTGAAGCATTGGTTGTGTGATGTATGGTCAGGTGTTGTCATGGAAAAGAATTGGGCCCTCTCTGTTGACCAGTGCCTACTGTAGGCGTTGCAATTTTTGGTGCATCTCATTGATTTGCTGAGCATACTTCTCAGATGTGATGGTTTTGCCAGGATTCAGAAAGTTGTAGTGGATCAGACAGGCAGCAGACCACCAAACAGGGAGCATGACCTATTTTTCCTGCAAGTTTGGCTTTGGGAAGTGCTTTGGAGCCTCTTCTCAGTCCAACTACTGAGGTGGTCTTTGCCGGTTGTTGTGTTAAAGCCACTTTTTTTCACACGTCACAATCCAATCAAGAAATGGTTCGTGTCGTTGTGTAGCATAAGAGAAGATGACACTTCAAAACGCCAATTTTTTTATTTTTGCTTAACTTATGAGGCACCCACTTATCAAGCTTTTTCACCTTTCCAATTTGCTTCAAATGCCAAAGGACCATAGAATGGTCCACGTTGATTGCTTCAGCAACTTCTCGTGTAATTGTAAGAGGATCAGCTTCAATGATTACTCTCAATTGGTCCTTGTCAACTTCCAATGGCTGGCCACTAGCTCTTCATCTTCAAGGCTCTCGTCTCCTTTGCAAAACCTCTTGAACCACCACTCCACTGTACGTTTGTTAGCAGTTCCTAGACCAAATGTGTCGTTGATGGTCGTGAGTTGTCTCCATTGCTTTATGACCCATTTCAAACTCGAATAAGAAAATTGCTCGAATTTGCTTTTTGCCTAACATCATTTCCATAGACTAAAATAAATATAAAATAAACAGCAATTAATAAGTCATTAGCAAAAAAAAAACATAAAGTGAGAAATGCCCATTAAAATGACATATAACATAACCACACTTATTTAAGAATGTATCCCAATATCAAATAGCAGATTTCAACAATGCAAAACCCGCAATTATGTTTTCACCAACCTAATATCACACCCAGAAGGAGCCCAGAGAGGCAAGAAAAACCTTCTCTCAACAAGAAATGGGGCCCAACAGGCTGCAAAGAATGAGTCATTTCATTTGAATTTTAAAATAACTTTAACCTCATTGTGTTTCCTAGCCTGGTTGAATGGGACACATTGATTACAGAAATAATGTAACATATTTGTCAACATACGCAAGTTACAACACATCCCAAATTTTTATTTTCAGAGCGCTTGATTATTTTATTCACTTAACCTACAAGAAAAAATCAGACTATTTTAAGTTCTCTAGATTTGTACGCTGTTGAAGTAAACTGATATGAGAATTAGTGAACAGTGTTACCCTTTTCATGCAAAACAATTTTCTGGTTCTAGAATAAATATCCATGTTCCTATGTTTACTTTTATTTCATTTTTCAAAAGATACTTTGTTCCTTATTTCTTCCTGTTATTTAAATAGATCATGAATCATGATGAGTTCTTAAAAACTGGCAATTAATGCTTTAATGCTCTGTAAATTTTAAGGTATAAGTTAGTTAAGCTAGCCGTCTTTTGAGTTTCTCATTCTACAATTCAGTCTGTTATGTGAAAAAAAATTCTATTTTATTTCTCATCAGTTACAGAGCTAAGACTCACTGTTTGTTTTCAAACTTTTTTTAAAAAATCAATTTTAGATTTACCAAAGAATTGCAAAGATAGTTCAGAGAGTTCTGTATACCCATAACCAAGCTTCTCCTAATGTTAATAGTTTAATCTTCCTGAAAATTTCCTTGTGTGGCCATTTGTAGTCAATCCTCCCTCCCCCATCCACTGATCATTTTTTTTTTTTCCATATCTATAGCTCTGTCTTTTCCAGAATATCATATAAATGGAATCACACGATAGGCAGCCTTTTGAGTCTGGCTTCTTTGACTGAACAGAATGCATTCAAGGTTTGTTCACTTCATGTACTTGCTAGACAATTGTATATCAATTGTTCTTTTATTACTGAGTAAATGTACTAGAGTTTGTTTATCCATTAATGCATTGAATGATACCTGGGTTGTTTGCAGTTTTTGGTGATTATGAATAAACCTACTATAAACATTTGAGTGCAAGTGGTAGTATGGATATACATTTTTGATTCACTTTGGTAAACAAAGTAAATACCTAAGGGGGGCATTGCTGGGTTGTACGGCAAGAGTATGCTGAAAAAGTTAAACTGTCAAACTTCCAGTGTGGCTGTATAATTGTTCATTCTCCCAGCAATGAATGGGAGTTCCTGTAGCTCTGCATCCTCCTTAGTGCTCAGTATCATCAGTTTTCTTTATTTTAGTGATTCTAATATGTATGTAATAGTATCTCATGGTTTCAGATTGCTTTTTCCTAATACCTGTGATGTTGAGCACATATTCATGTGCCTATTTTGTCATCTGCATATCTTTGTAGAGCAACATATTTAATTTTAATAAAGTCTAATTTGTAATTTTTTCTTTACGAATCATGCTTTAGTGTCCTACCTAAACGCTCACTGCCAAAACAAAGGGCATACATTTTTTTTTGCCTGTGTTTTCCTATGAGAAGTTTTATTTTCTTACATTTTATATTTAGGTCTACAATCTATTTTGAGTTCATTTCTGTAAAGTTGTGAGGTATGTATCAAGGTTCACATTTTGCATATAGATCCCCACTGGTCCC
Source organism: Homo sapiens (assembly GCF_000001405.40). NCBI lineage: Eukaryota > Metazoa > Chordata > Mammalia > Primates > Hominidae > Homo > Homo sapiens. Next base: position 91,490,223 of record NC_000015.10, read on the forward strand.
AGTCCTATTTATTGAAAAACCTATCCTTTCTCCATTAAATTACCTTTGCAACTTGTCAAAAATCAATTGACCTGGCTTCTGGTTTTTGTCTGGAGATGTAGACAGCTTGAAAAAAAAGTCACTTCAATCCTACAAGAAGAAAAAGCTAGGAAAATGGAAAATTAACTTTTCTTAAAAACATGAGAGATGACAGAGCGGGCAACTAAATTGAATTCTGGAGAGATAAAGGGGCCTACGGAGTGAAATAGGACCCAAGCCTATGTGTGCCTGGGGCACACAACCATGGATGCCATATAAACAGATTAGGAGACTAAACTATGTTGTGGTCAGAATGTATCCCCTTAAAATTCATACATTAAAACTTCATGACCAATGTGATACTATTAGGAGGTGGCGCCGTTAGGAGGTCATTAGTGCCTTTAAGAAAAACCTCAAGGAAACTAGTAAGGCTCTCTTGCCCTCTGTTTCTTCTGCCATGTGAGGACACAGTGTTGTCTCCTCCAGAGGATTCAGCAACAGGGGTCATCTTGGAAGCAGAGATAGCCCTCACGAGACACCCAACCTGCAGGTACTTTGATCTTAGACTTCCAGCCTCCAGAACTGTGAGAGATACATTTCTGTTCTTTATAAATTACCCAGTCTCAGGTATTCTGTTATAGAAGGAGCAATGGATTAAGAATAACAGAAATTTTTAATAAACTGCTAAAACCTGAGTGTGGGCTAGAGGAAGAGGGTAAAGCCCTTGAGGGCAGCAGATATAGGCAGATACAGAAGGTTTTTACCCTGTGTAGGCCTTTTCTCCAGTAACTCACAGGGAGGATGGGGTAGGATTCAGGGAAAACTCCCTGTCGCCTTTCCAACTCTGGTGCTTGTTGTTAGGGGATGAAAACAGCAGCAGCCAATGTGAAATTCAGGCAGGCCCGTCTCCCATCTCTCCTATATAACAAAAAGTTTAGTCTGCAGGGAAAGGTTATCGAGGCTTGTAGCCAAGTCTGTGGTGGAATCTCATTGCAGCTTGAGTGGGGGCAGGATAGAGACAATCACCAAACCTCTGCCCAGACACATCTCTTTATTGCCCTTAAGCTAAAAAATAAAAGCCACATTCTGCAGGGGACAGGGTGTTAAAACCATAGCCTGAGGATGCTGGCAGATACCAACTGCAGCTGAGGAGTGGGGACAGGAGCAAAAGAGGTTCTACTTTTGGAGGAAGGACAGAAACTCTTGTGAAGGCCACCCCCCTGAAACTAGGTTCCCAGTAGCTGCTCAAGTCTGATGCTGAGTCAGAGGCTGTTCTCCTCCCCAACACGACATGACCAGCATGCTAACCAGCTCATGTAAAAATATAATAGGGAAGTTTGCATGGACAGCTGTAAGAGGCAAAGTATTTCTGGTGAGCAGTACAAAGCAAATACCCAAAGCCAATCAGAGAGACAAAAATAAAGTATCACTGGAAGGACTGGGAGTCTCTGGTGTCCATTATCAACAATAAACTCCAAGTCTGGTAACTATAGCAACAATGAACTTCAAACACAGCTCAGCTCCTGACTAGGTTAACACGAACCCTCATACTAGAGCCTAGTTTAAGCAAATGCACGCTCATCTCTCAAAAGTGCTTATCTCAGTATTTGCTGTCATATATAATATGTCTAGCTTCCAACAATTTATAAGCCTTATCAAATGGCAATAAAAATACACTGTGACAAGATAAACTATCATCAGAACGAAGCTCAGGTATGACACAGATAATAGGATTAATGGATGGGGAATTTAATAGAACTATAATTAATATGTTAAAGTCTCTGTTAAAAAGATAGACAATATACAAGATCAGACAGGTAATTTCAGTGGAGAGATGAAAGCTGTAAGAGAGCACTAATGACAGCACTAGAAATGGATGAAGAGAGAGTGATTAATGGGTACAAAAATACAGTTAGATAGAAGGAATACATTCTAGTATTTGATAGTACAGTAGGGACACTGCAGTTAATATATTATGCATTTCAAAGTAGCTAGAAGAGAAGAATTGTAATGTTCCCAACACAAAGGAAAGATAAATGTTTGAAGTGACGAATATCCCAATTATGCTAATTTGATCATTATGCATCGTATACATATATCAAAATATCATATGTACCCCCAAAATATGTACAACTGTGATATATCATTAAAAACCAAACACAATAACAGAAGTAAAGAATGCTTTCGACATGGCCAAAGCAAAGATCAGTCAACTTGAAGATAGGTCAATAGAAATTACCCTAACTAAAATGCCAAAAGGAAAAAGTTAGGAAATAACACAGTAACAACAACAAAAAAAGCATCGAAAAGTCGTGGGACAATTACAACTTTCTCACATGTGCCTATTGGGAATACCAGATGGAAAGTAAAAAAGAATGAGGCAGAATAAATATTTGAAGAAATAATGGCTGAGAGTTGTTCCAAGTTAGTGGCAGATACCAAACCACAGATCCAGGAATCTCAGAGAACACTAAATAGGATAATGCAAGAACAAAACCAAACAACACACATAGGCATATTTAAACTGCTGAAAACCAAAAACAAAATAAAAATCTTGAATGGAACCAGAGGAAAACGCACATTAATGTAGTCCCCCCTTTTCTGTGAGGGATACCTTCAAAGACCCTCAGTGGATCTCTGAACCTGTAGCTAGCACCAAACCCCATATATAGTATATGTATTATGATTTTTTCCTATGCATGCATTTCTACAGTAAAGCTTAATTTATAAATTATGCACAGTAAGAGGTTGATAACAATAACTAATAATAAAATAGAACAATTATAACAATATACTATAATAAAATTTATGTAAATGTGATTTCTTTCCCCAAATATATATATATTTTTTAGGTTGTCAAATTGTATTTTCTCAAGTAAGGATATGAAAAAACAAAACAAAATAACAAATAAATTCTAACATTTTATATCATCCCAATTTAATTTTTAAAAGGATGTGAGAAGAAGAAAGGAGGGGGGAGAGGAGGAGAAAAGGACGTGCATCATCTGAAAATGAAGGGTGTTCTTTAAAGCAGCAAAGTTAGCTCAACAAAACTTATTGTGCTTTATCATGGGGAACTGACATAGCAGAAAGTGGAACCAACGGTAAGGGGGGACTACTGTAACTATGGAGGAATAAGGACAAGAATTACAGCAGACGTCTCAACAGAAACCATGCAAGCCAGAGACAACGGAGTGAGATTTTTAAAGTGTTGAAAGAAAAAAACTGTCAAAACAGATTTCTACATCCAGGAGAAATATCTTTCAAATGTGAAAAACAAATAAATACTTTTGTGTACCAACATAAACTGAGGAAGTTCAGTAATATTTCCTACTTTACTGGAAATATTAAAGGTAGTTCTTCAAACAAAGAATTTGTTTGGAACTTAGATCTGCATACAGGACATAAATGAAGGGAAATATGCTTTATCATATTTCTCGCTGTAAAATATACTTTATCATATTTTCTTGCTATAACAAGTAACTTGACTGTTTAAAGTAATAATAACCATATATTATATGGTTATGGTGTATGTAAGAGTAAGATGAGTTACAATGATAGTGCAAAAGATGAGAAGAAAGAATTGGGAAACACTGTTGTAAGATCTTACATTACATGTGTGGCAACACTGTTATTTGAAGGTGGACTTAGATTATTTAAAATTGTATATTATAAAACCTAGGGCAATCACTACAAGTGTTAACAACACAAAATGTGTAAAAATCAATTGACTATATTTATGTAGGTCTAGTTCGGGGCTTTCTCTTCTATTTCATTGATCTATGTGTCTATCCTTTTGCTACTGTCTTTATTACTATATCTTTATAATAATCCCAGCACTTTGGGAGACCAAGGTGGGCAGATCATGAGGTCAAGAGATCGAGACCATCCTGGCCAACATGGTGAAACCCCATCCCTACTAAAAATACAAAAATTAGCTGGGCATGGTGGCACATGCCTGTAGTCCCAGCTATTCAGGAGGCTGAGGCAGGAGAATTGCTTGAACCCAGGAGGTGGAGGTTGCAGTGAGCCAAGATCACACCACTGCTCTCCAGCCTGGCAATAGAGTGAGACTTTGTCTCAAAAAAATAAAAATAAAAATAAAAAATAAAAAATAAAAAAATTTTAAATAAAAGGCTTGAAATTGGGTAGTGTAAATCCTTCCATTTTTTAAATCTCTTTCAGAATCATTTTGCTATTCTAGCATGTTTTGCTTTTTAGAATCAGTTTGTTGATATCTACCCAATGCTTGCTGGAATTTTGGTTAGGATTGTACTGGGGAGAATTGGTAAATTTGCCACATTGAACCTTTCAATCCGAGAATATGTTATATCTCTATACTTAATTAGATCTTCCATGATTTATTTGAGCAGTGTTTTGCAGTTTATAGTATATAATTCCTGAGCACGTTTTGTTAGAATTTAAGTATTTCAATGGGGCAGGAGATGCTATTATAAATGATACTGTCTTTAAATTTTGAAATCCAATTGTTGATTGCCACTATCTAGAAAAATGGTTGACTTTTGTAATTCTGCAACCTCAGTAATTTATTAATTCTAGGAGCATTTTGGTGGGTTTCTTTGGGAAGATAAATATGTCTTTTTGGATAACACAGCGCTATTTTTTTCTAATCTGTTCTCCATTTTTTACTCTTGCTTTATTGCAATGGATTTTGTTTAACAGGAGTGATAACAGAAGACATCCTTGTCTTATTTCTGATCTTAGTGTGAAATGATTTATCACTATCAAGTAAGAAAATATTTTTGGAAAAAGGTAAATCATTTTTATATAATACAATAATTGATATTAATTTTAAAGCAGTCTTGTAGGAGAAACCATACAATTTCCCCATATAAATATAGTATATAATAACCTAGGATCCAGTGAAAAAAATTGCAAGTTGTAAATATTCAACTTACAACTTTCTGTATTAATTAGAATTAATATTCTAATCCTGAAAAAAGTACAAAACAATGTCGTCATGAAGAAACATATGGAGTCAGGAAGGGGAACATCACATACCAGGGACTGCTGTGGGGTGGGGGGAGGGGGGAAGGGATAGCATTAGGAGATATACCTAATGCTAAATGATGAGTTAATGGGTGCAGCACACCAACTTGGCACATGTATACATATGTAATAAACCTGCATGTTGTGCACATGTACCCTAAAACTTAAAGTATAATAATAATAATAATAATAATAATAATAATAATAATAAAAAGAAACATATGGAGTCAGTGAAAATGGTTGCATAGCGGTCAATAAAAGTAATTATAACTCAGGGCACTTAGACCAGCACTCAACAGTGTTTTTGAGCTGACCGGGAAGGCTGCTCCCTTGAATAACTCAGGAATAACCTTCAAGGCTTTTCTGCCTATGTAGGAGCTTTTACCTTCCATTGGAGCCTGTGCCTTGTGAAGTATTTCTGGTGTTGGTGACCTCCTACCTGGGCGGTATACTGGGCCTCCAGGAAGGTAGGAAGAAGTAATGGAATCTGGTGCTCAAGAAAAGACTTGGAGCTATTTTTTACCAGAGTGGTCAAAGATGTGTTGGCATCTGGCATTAGCTTCCCATTGGTAAAAACACATTCGTATTCAAGTGTGAGTTGGAGGGTAGGTGGCTCTCTATGCAGATAAATAGAGGAGTAAAGAAAGAGGTAGCTATTATTTGAATTTTGTCCTTCTTTGGGGCAAAAATTCAGGTCATTTTGACTTCTTCCTTATTCTTTTTGGCATTTTTTGAATGATTACAACCGGGCTCTTTTCCTCCCTCCTTCCCTCCATCCCTCTCTCCATCCCTGCCTCCCTCCCTCCCTCCCTTCCTTCCATCTGTCCTACCTTGCTTTTTCCCTCCCTTCTTTCCATTAATCTGTCATTTATTTTTTTCTTTTCGGAGATGTAGAGTCTTGCTATGTTGCCCAGGCCAGTCTCAAACTCCTGGCCTCAAGGAATCCTCCCGCCTTGGCCTCCGAAAGTACTGGGATTATAGACAAGAGCCACCACGCCCGGTGGTGTGCTTCATTTTTATAATTAAAGAACAAAACAAGACAAAAAAGCGATTTTACTTTGAAAAAGTTGTGGCTGCCAATCAGATTTTTTTTTCCTCGAATAGTCCCAGATCCAAAAAATGCAGCTCCTGACTACCCTGGAGGTTTAGAAAATCTCATTGCGTTTTTGTGTTTCTCCTCCAGTTTACTGAACTTAAATTGGAGGCCCTAGCTCTATATGGGAAGAATGGAGGCAATATCCAATCTTAGCTTAGACTTAGACTGATTCAAACTAGAGCCAAACGGGTGTTTTTCTGGGCAGATATAACTGTCTTTTAGTAATTTCTGACTCTTGACAGAATTAGAACTTTTTTCCTCCTGTGTTGAGATAATCTGCTATTTCTGTTAATAAACATGTAAACTTGCAGCTCTGGAGAGCTGTCTGACCTGTTCAGATTCTCAAGAATTCTTATAATAGATTTCCAACATCAACTCCTATGTTTATTCTATCATATGGATCCTGAAATTCATATTCTATTGTTAGTTAACAAGCCTTTAAAATAAATATAGCATTTATATTCCTGTAATATCTTCCACTGTCAATATTTACTTTAAGTTCAAATAGAGCTTTTTCCTTCCACTGAACATTTAAGTTAAATGATTTATAAGCTCATCATTTCTCCATTATCTCCCCAGAAACACTTATACTTGAGTCACTCTCGTCTGTGAACTTTTACTGTCATCTCCACTTTACCTCTTTCCCCAAAGATTTCTCCTGGTTCAGTTGAGCCAAGTGAATGGTCCCCTTGTAGGGAGCTTTTGTCATTTTTCAGGCTGTTGCTAGAGATCTTATGTTTTGGGAATTCTCCAGTTGAAATCTTTTTGGGAGGCTGAATTTCCCTCCACTCTAAATGTCCAAAGGCCAGACACTCCCTTATTTACCCCCTGGCAAGCAGTAGGGCATTGCACAAGACCCAGGCTTCATTAGTCAAATGTATTCACCCTAGACTTTGAATAGGGACCTAGGTAGTGGTGCACAGAAGCTGCGATCAGGAAGGATCTGTTAGGATAATTGCAGCAGTGCCACTGGGGCCAGTATCCAGCATGCAGGGTCAGTAGAGGCAGCAGGACAAGTTTTGGCATCCAGAGTGTAATGATAGTTGTGGTGAGCTCACGGGGTGGGCCCTGTCTGCTGTGTAATCCCCTGCTTTGCCATGATCAGTTTTCTAAACCTGCTTCTCTTAGCTTCCTGGCAGCCAGTGTGCTATACACAGGGCACAGAGAAAAGATACTTCCCTAGGTAGACAGAGCAGCTAGACAGAATCCCTTCTATGAAGAGTTTTATACATATCTCCAGGCTAGGTCTAGGTTAACCCAAGTGGAGGCTCTTCCTCTGTCCTCTCCCTCTCCACCACATTTCCTTCCAGCAGGCCTCCAGTCCTAAGACTGGGGTCTTTGCGTAGGTCCTCTACCAGCCTGCATTTTCCTTTTTTTGATTCAGCCGTGAGACACTTTTCAGATGATGTTTGTAGTTTGTGTTTGTAATCTTGCCAATTAAGATACCCAAAGAAGTTAGGTGAGAATGAACTAATTTAAGAATTTTTCTTGTTCTGGCGTTGATGCCACTGCAATGGCTGTCTTCCTGTGTTTTAAGGGAAAAGTTGCTGTACGAGTCTTTTCTGCGTGAAAGCATCTGTCTATCTTTCTCTAGCCATTTGAACCACATCACTCAGAGCCAGTGGGCAATATATAAAAGTTTTCCACAAATCTCCTGTTTTCCCCCTCCAAATAAATAAACAGAATATATGGCATTTTCACCAAAGGCAGCAGGACAAGACATCCCATTTCACGCTTCAGCAATCTGACTAAGGAAACAAATATAGATTTTTCTTCCAAATGCCTTTAGGTTATAAGGCAAGTTGATTAAGGCCTCCCTTTAAGCCCCACCAGAGAAATAAATGGATAATGGAGTGTGCCTGCCTACCCTTAAAGAGAAAGAGGTTATGTCTAATATTGACTCTCCTAATCAGTTTGACATAAAACATATTTCTCACAGATGTGGCTCTCCAACCCTTCTTGCATGCAGGAGAGAGGAAAGCCGTATGGATTTCAGTTTCCTGTTAGCTGAGAATAAATTAAATTATGTTCTTTTCTCCTCTTTACCACTCCTTTGTGGATTCAATTTCTATGTAGACATGTCAGATTTTTTTTTTAAGGGAGGAGTTGATAAAATGCCTTTTTCCTTTTATCGTGCAGGTATAATTCTTGCCTTTTCTTCCTTCCCCTCACTGCCAATGAAATACTGCAGAGGAAAAAAAAAAAAAAGAGAGAAAAGAGTCATGGGTTGTGACATTACTGTGACCTTTGAGAAGTTGCAGGAGAGCTGATCATAAATCCTGATGGTCCAAGGATTAGAACTGTTCCCAGAAACCCCCAGAGCATAGTGATGTTCTTGACAAAGACACTCATTTTTCCAGATTTTGAGTAGGATATTATATTAGTTAAGGTAAAGCTAACCGTTATAGCAAATTAAAATCCAATCGCCCCCAGTGGCTTAGCAGAAAAAGATACTTCATTCATTTTTTATGCTTCAGTCATGTAAAATGTTCCTCCAACAGTGGGGAATACAGGTGGGGTGGGATGGATCATGCTTCCTGCAGTCAACTAGCAATCCAGAGGATGGCCCTGCTGTCTTCATCTGGGGACTTCCAAAGCTGCCTTGGGTATTCACTTCCAGCCTGGGGATGGGGAAGAAAGAGAAGAGAATTGCAAGGTAGGCTTTATGGGCAGGCCTAGAAGTGGAATTCATATCTCTGTAGTGATTTTCTTTGTTGAACACTATCCCGTGGCCTGGAGAATTGGGAAATATCTCATAGTTGTGGGCCCCAGAGGAAAGGGCTAGTTGCTCTCTGGCTTCTTTGAGGGATTAGAATTTTCATCTAAGGCCATTTGGGAATTTGGGACCCAGGTGATCATTATGACATTATAATGTTCATGTTATATGCTTTATCTTTCATGAATATTTCTGTTGGCTTCATTTTGTAGTCATATTTGTAATTATATGATTTAGAGTTATTTAAATTTGTTATGATGCTAACTACCAATCCTTTTCCACTAGACTATAAAATTTTGTGCTCCTAATTTAGATTAATCTTCCAATCAGATTTACAGTGCCTCAAAATAAGTTGTTTTTTTTTTCCAGGATGATACTCCTAGAGAATGTATTGTCTGTATGTTTGTGTGTTCTAAGCCCTTACACATTTGAGAACATTTTTCTGTTGTCTTAACAACGTAACTTGACTGTGTCAAGGGTTGTAAAACAGTAATGATAGCTGATTTTCATATATGGGCAATCTAAAACATGTGCAGAGGTTGAGGAAAAGCTTCCTCTTCACCTACTGAAGTTTGCTGAAATGACTGACAATAGACAGATTAATAGAATAAAAAGGCACACAAATTATTAACAGGGATATGGATGTGGGATTCCCCAAAATATGACTCTCAAAGAATGGCTAGAAGGTTGAGGCTTAAGTCCTCTCTTAGTAGGGGAGAGGAAAGTTGGGGGATGTAGGTAATTTTAGATAAATAGTGAATGATTTTTAGGGCAAATGAATGAGCCCAAAGAACAATAGTCTGGGACAAATTTCCTCTGAGCTCTGGGCAAGGTGAGGAGCAAAACTTCACTGTGAACAATGGTTGTTTCATTATGCAGATAAAGCCTCCCAGGCAGTCTCTCTGAGTTGCTCTCAGAGGAATAGGTGAAAAGCCTATCTGGGTGCGGTGAAGACTTTTAGTCTCCTCTTTTCTCCACTGGTTAATCTTTCCTGGTTATTTGATGAGATTCTTAGGACAACTGCATTTCTTTTGGAAAGAAGTTTCCATAGTCAGAAAATTCCCAAGAGTCCCTCCCTGCGCTTGAGGAAAGAAAGCAGATCAGAGACACGGGGCCGGGAGGTGGGGGCATGGGCAAGAAAAGGCCTGAGAGAGACCTTTGTTCTCAGGAGTCTTTCTGAAGCCTTCCTATTTTAGTTCAAAGGGCTTGGCATCCCAAAGAGCCAAACTTTTGGAGTATATTTTCTAAGGCCCACATATGCATTAATTCTATTTTTCTTGAACTTATAAGAATTAAAATTTTTGGCCGGGTGTGGTGGCTCATGCCTGTAATCCCAGCACTTTGGGAGGCCGAGGTGGATGGATCACAAGGTCAGGAGTTTGAGGCCAGCCTGGCCAACATAGTGAAACTCCGTCTCTACTAAAAATGCAAAAAATTAGCTGAGTGTGGTGGCAGGCGCCTGTAATCCCAGCTACTTGGGAGGCTGAGGCAGGAGAATTGCTTGAACCTAGGAGGTGGAGGTTGCAGTGAGCAGAGATCAGACCACTGCACTCCAGCCCAGGCGACAGTGCGAGAGTGTCTCGAAAGAAAAAAAAAAAAATTGTCCCAGCGTGAGCGACGCAGAAGACGGGTGATTTCTGCATTTCCATCTGAGGTACCGGGTTCATCTCACTAGGGAGTGCCAGACAGTGGGCGCAGGTCAGTGGGTGCCCGCACCTTGTGCGAGCCGAAGCAGGGCGAGGCATTGCCTCACTTGGGAAGCGCAAGGGGTCAGGGAGTTCCCTTTCCAAGTCAAAGAAAGGGGTGACGGACAGCACCTGGAAAATCGGGTCACTCCCACCCAAATACTGTGCTTTTCCGACAGGCTTAAAAAATGGTGCATCACGAGATTATATCCCGCACCTGGCTCGGAGGGTCCTGCGCCCACGGAGTCTGGCTGATTGCTAGCACAGCAGTCTGAGATCAAACTGCAAGGCGGCAGCGAGGCTGGGGGAGGGGCGCCCGCCATTGCCCAGGCTTGCTTAGGTAAACAAAGCAGTCGGGAAGCTCCAACTGCGTGGAGCCCACCACAGCTCAAGGAGACCTGCCTGCCTCTGTAGGCTCCACCTCTGGGGGCAGGGCACAGACAAACAAAAAGACAGCAGTAACCTCTGCAGACTTAAATGTCCCTGTCTGACAGCTTTGAAGAGAGCAGTGGTTCTCCCAGCACGCAGCTGGAGATCTGAGAACCGGCAGACTGCCTCCTCAAGTGGGTCCCTGACCCCTGACCCCCGAGCAGCTTAACTGGGAGGCACCCCCCCAGCAGGGGCACACTGACACCTCACATGGCAGGGTACTCCAACAGACCTGCAGCTGAGGGTCCTGTCTGTTAGAAGGAAAACTAACAAACAGAAAGGACATCCACACCAAAAACCCATCTGTACATCACCATCATCAAAGACCAAAAGTAGATAAAACCACAAAGATGGGGAAAAAACAGAACAGAAAAACTGGCAACTCTAAAAAGCAGAGCGCCTCTCCTCCTCCAAAGGAACGCAGTTCCTCACCAGCAACAGAACAAAGCTGGATGGAGAATGACTTTGACGAGCTGAGAGAAGAAGGCTTCAGATGATCAAATTACTCTGAGTTACAGGAGGACAGTCAAACCAAAGGCAAAGAAGTTGAAAACTTTGAAAAAAATTTAGAAGAATGTATAACTAGAATAACCAATACAGAGAAGTGCTTAAAGGAGCTGATGGAGCTGAAAACCAAGGCTCAAGAACTACGTGAAGAATGCAGAAGCCTCAGGAGCCGATGCGATCAACTGGAAGAAAGGGTATCAGCAATGGAAGATGAAATGAATGAAATGAAGCAAGAAGGAAAGTTTAGAGAAAAAAGAATAAAAAGAAATGAGCAAAGCCTCCAAGAAATATGGGACTATGTGAAAAGACCAAATCTACTTCTGACTGGTGTTCCTGAAAGTGATGGGGAGAATGGAACCAAGTTGGAAAACATGCTGCAGGATATTATCCAGGAGAACTTCCCCAATCTAGCAAGGCAGGCCAACGTTCAGATTCAGGAAATACAGAGAATGCCACAAAGATACTCCTCGAGAAGAGCAACTCCAAGACACATAATTGTCAGATTCAACAAAGTTGAAATGAAGGAAAAAATGTTAAGGGCAGCCAGAGAGAAAGGTCGGGTTACCCTCAAAGAGAAGCCCATCAGACTAACAGCGGATCTCTCGGCAGAAACCCTACAAGCCAGAAGAGAGTGGGGGCCAATATTCAACATTCTTAAAGAAAAGAATTTTCAACCCAGAATTTCATATCCAGCCAAACTAAGCTTCATAAGCGAAGGAAAAATAAAATACTTTACAGACAAGCAAATGCTGAGAGATTTTGTCACCACCAGGCCTGCCCTAAAAGAGCTCCTGAAGGAAGCGCTAAATATGGAAAGGAACAACTGGTACCAGCTGCTGCAAAATCATGCCAAAATGTAAAGACCATCGAGACTAGGAAGAAACTGCATCAACTAACGAGCAAAATAACCAGCTAACATCATAATGACAGGATCAAATTCACACATAACAATATTAACCTTAAATGTAAATGGGCTAAATGCTCCAATTAAAAGACACAGACTGGCAAATTGGATACAGAGTCAAGACCCATCAGTGTGCTGTATTCAGGAAACCCATCTCACGGGCAGAGACACACATAGGCTCAAAATAAAAGGATGGAGGAAGATCTACCAAGCAAATGGAAAACAAAAAAAGATGGGTTGCAATCCTAGTCTCTGATAAAACAGACTTTAAACCAACAAAGATCAAAAGAGACAAAGAAGGCCATTATATAATGGTAAAGGGATCAATTCAACAAGAAGAGCTAACTGTCCTAAATATATATGCACGCAATACAGGAGCACCAAGATTCATAAAGCAAGTCCTGAGTGACCTACAAAGAGACTTAGACTCCCACACATTAATAATGGGAGACTTGTAACACCCCACTGTCAACATTAGACAGATCAACGAGACAGAAAGTCAACAAGGATACCCAGGAATTGAACTCAGCTCTGCACCAAACGGACCTAATAGACATCCACAGAACTCTCCACCCCAAATCAACAGAATATACATTGTTTTCAGCACCACACCACACCTATTCCAAAATTGACCACCTACTTGGAAGTAAAGCTCTCCTCAGCAAATGTAAAAGAACAGAAATTATAACAAACTATCTCTCAGACCACAGTGCAATCAAACTAGAACTCAGGATTAAGAATCTCACTCAAAACTGCTCAGCTACATGGAAACTGAACAACCTGCTCCTGAATGACTACTGGGTAAATAATGAAATGAAGGCAGAAATAAAGATGTTCTTTGAAACCAACAAGAACAAAGACACAACATACCAGAATCTCTGGGACACATTCAAAGCAATGTGTAGAGGGAAATTTATAGCACTAAATGCCCACAAGAGAAAGCAGGAAAGATCCAAAACTGACACCCTAACATCACAATTAAAAGAACTACAAAAGCAAGAGCAAACACATTCAAAAGCTAGCAGAAGGCAAGAAATAACTAAAATCAGAGCAGAACTGAAGGAAATAGAGACACAAAAAACCCTTCAAAAATTAATGAATCCAGGAGCTGGTTTTTTGAAAGGATCAACAAAATTGATAGACTGCTAGCAAGACTAATAAAGAAAAAAAGAGAGAAGAATCAAATAGACACAATAAAAAATGATAAAGGGGATATCACCACCGATCCCACAGAAATACAAACTACCATCAGAGAATACTACAAACACCTCTACGCAAATAAACTAGAAAATCTAGAAGAAATGGATAAATTCCTCGACACATACACTCTCCCGAGACTAAACCAGGAAGAAGTTGAATCTCAGAATAGACCAATAACAGGATCTGAAATTGTGGCAATAATCAATAGCTTACCAACCAAAAAGAGTCCAGGACCAGATGGATTCACAGCCGAATTCTACCAGAGGTACAAGGAGGAACTGGTACCATTCCTTCTGAAACTATTCCAATCAATAGAAAAAGAGGGAATCCTCCCTAACTCATTTTATGAGGCCAGCATCATTCTGATACCAAAGCCAGGCAGAGACACAACAAAAAAAAGAGAATTTTAGACCAATATCCTTGATGAATATTGACGCAAAAATCCTCAATAAAGTACTGGCAAACCGAATCCAGCAGCACATCAAAAAGCTTATCCACCATGATCGAGTGGGCTTCATCCCTGGGTTGCAAGCCTGGTTCAATATACGCAAATCAATAAATGTAATCCAGCATATAAACAGAACCAAAGACAAAAACCACATGATTATCTCAATAGATGCAGAAAAGGCCTTTGACAAAATTCAACAACCCTTCATGCTAAAAACTCTCAATAAATTAGGTATTGATGGGACGTATTTCAAAATTATAAGAGCTATCTATGACAAACCCACAGCCAATATCATACTGAATGGGCAAAAACTGGAAGCATTCCCTTTGAAAACTGGCACAAGACAGGGATGCCCTCTCATCACTCCTATACAACATAGTGTTGGAAGTTCTGGCCAGGGCAACTAGGCAGGAGAAGGAAATAAAGGGTATTCAGTTAGGAAAAGAGGAAGTCAAATTGTCCCTGTTTGCAGACGACATGATTGTATATCTAGAAAACCCCATCGTCTCAGCCCAAAATCTCCTTAAGCTGATAAGCAACTTCAGCAAAGTCTCAGGATACAAAATCAATGTACAAAAATCACAAGCATTCTTATACACCAACAACAGACAAACAGAGAGCCAAATCATGAGTGAACTCCCATTCACAATTGCTTCAAAGAGAATAAAATACCTAGGAATCCAACTTACAAGGGATGTGAAGGACCTCTTCAAGGAGAACTACAAACCACTGCTCAAGGAAATAAAAGAGGATACAAACAAATGGAAGAACATTCCATGTTCATGGGTAGGAAGAATCAATATCGTGAAAATGGCCATACTGCCCAAGGTAATTTACAGATTCAATGCCATCCCCATCAAGCTACCAATGCCTTTCTTCACAGAATTGGAAAAAACTACTTTAAAGTTCACATGAAACCAAAAAAGAGCCCGCATCGCCAAGTCAATCCTAAGCCAAAAGAACAAAGCTGGAGACATCACACTACTTGACTTCAAACTATACTACAAGGCTACAGTAACCAAAACAGCATGGTACTGGTACCAAAACACAGATATAGATCAGTGGAACAGGACAGAGCCCTCAGAAATAATGCTGCATATCTACAACTATCTGATCTTTGACAAACCTGAGAAAAACAAACAATGGGGAAAGGATTCCCTATTTAATAAATGGTGCTGGGAAAACTGGCTAGCCATATGTAGAAAGCTGAAACTGGATCCCATCCTTACACCTTACACAAAAATCAATTCAAGATGGATTAAAGACTTAAACGTTAGACCTAAAACCATAAAAACCCTAGAAGAAAACCTAGGCAATACCATTCAGGACATAGGCATGGGCAAGGGCTTCATGTCTAAAACACCAAAAGCAATGGCAACAAAAGACAACATTGACAAATGGGATCTAATTAAACTAAAGAGCTTCTGCACAGCAAAAGAAACTACCATCAGAGTGAACAGGCAACCTACAAAATGGGAGAAAATTTTCGCAACCTACTCATCTGACAAAGGGTTAATATCCAGAATCTACAATGAACTCAAACAAATTTACAAGAAAAAAACAAACAACCCCGTCAAAAAGTGGGTGAAGGACATGAACAGACACTTCTCAAAAGAAGACATTTATGCAGCCAAAAAACACATGAAAAAATGCTCACCATCACTGGCCATCAGAGAAATGCAAATCAAAACCACAATGAGATACCATCTCACACCAGTTAGAATGGCAATTATTAAAAAGTCAGGAAACAACAGGTGCTGGAGAGGATGTGGAGAAATAGAAACACTTTTACACTGTTGGTGGGACTGTAAACTAGTTCAACCATTGTGGAAGTCAGTGTGGCGATTCCTCAGGGATCTAGAACTGGAAATACCATTTGACCCAGCCATCCCATTACTGGGTATATACCCAAAGAACTATAAATCATGCTGCTATAAATACACATGCACATATATGTTTATTGCAGCATTATTCACAATAGCAAAGACTTGGAACCAACCCAAATGTCCAACAATGATAGACTGGATTAAGAAAATGTGGCACATATACACCATGGAATACTATGCAGCCATAAAAAATGATGAGTTCATGTCCTTTGTAGGGACATGGATGAAATTGGAAATCATCATTCTCAGTAAACTATCACAAGAACAAAAAACCAAACACCGCATATTCTCACTCATAGGTGGGAATTGAACAATGAGATCACTTGGACAGAGGAAGGGGAATATCACATTCTGGGGACTGTTGTGGGGTTGGGGGAGGGGGGAGGGATAGCATTGGGAGATATACCTAATGCTAGATGACGAGTTAGTGGGTGCAGCGCACCAGCATGGCACATGTATACATAGGTAACTAACCTGCACAATGTGCACATGTACCCTAAAACTTAAAGTATAATAATAATAAATAAATAAATAAATTGTCATATGAACAAAAAAAAAAGAAAAAATTAAATTTTTTTCATATTTCCTCCTTTAAGTGTCCACTAGCATAGGGGAAAATTTTTCAGATAAATAACTGAGAAAGAAGGAAAATATTCACCAGGGAGGGAATATTTACAGAAGACAGGCCTGATTTCTTTACTTTGAAAATTATAGAAAAATCCTCCAATTTATAGTAATGTTAAAACTATGACACTACTTATTAAGAAATTGTTATTACTAGTCTAAGAATCTAGCAGTTACCTATATACTTTGTGAGAATTTCTGAACACAAGACTTCTTTTTGCTAAAAATATTAAGCCAAAAAGAGCTTTGCTCACACTTGAGGGAAAAAACCTCTTTTAAAATGTTTAAATCTCTTCATGCTATATTCACATTGCTCTTGCAATCCCACATTATATATCATATTTTTTAAGGAGCTTATTTTGTTTTGGAGGCTAGGAAGGTTAACTTGCAGTGATTTTCAAGTCTCGGATTTAGTGAAAAATTTTTTTAAAAGCCAGGCTCACCTGATTCTTAAAACATTCTTTTCCACTTAAGCAGAAGCCTTACCCATGCCAGATATTGAAAAGTGTATAGGTGAGGAACAATTTTTTCTTTCTTTGGAAGTTACTTTTTGTTGCATTTCTTGGTCATGTTTTAGCAATTGTCTCTATAATATCTACATCTGCATCTTCAGTCATACTTTAATGGAATAATTTTGAGTTTTTTATTTGATGATGTGAGATCATGCTTTTTAACTGTGTGCTTTTCAATCTCTTGGTGTCTTATCTAGAACCACTAATAGGAATTCCACAGAGCTCAGATTGTTCTGGGGTACCTAACTTGAAAGATAAACTAATATTCTCACGTCTCTGAAAATGTCTAGTATATAGTGTTAATTTTCCATGACTCTCTCTGACTCTGGTTAATGAGGTCAACAGAGGTCTTAGAGGAATCATGGACTTGAATTCAACTCTGGAGTCGGTGACAGCAACCTGTTGAAGACACAGACCTCTTGCCTTAGCTAGAGCACTTATGTCCCTGTCCCCTGCTGTCTCTCCTTTGACTAATTTCTCCTAATCCTTTTCACTGGCTCCTCTTTCTTTATCGGTCCCTTTTATTGAAGGATTTCTCAGAGGTTAGTCCTAGGTGCACTTTCCTTCTCACGCTACACATTCACCCTGGACAATCTAACTCACCCCCATGCTTCAAATACCGCCTGGAAGGCAAGTACTCCTCCAGTCACCACCCATGTCTGAATCTTTCTCCAGAATTACAAGTCTCTTTAAGATCAGGCCTTAGCTTACCTGTTTTTTCTCTTTCTTTAAATTTTATTTTTAATCAAATAATAATTATATTTATGGGGTGCAATGTGATGTTTTGAAACATGTATACATTGTAGAACATAGATGAAACTGGAAGACATTAATTAAGTGAAGCAATCCAGACACAGGAAGATAAATACTGCACCATCTCACTTTGTTGTGGAATCTAAAATAGTCAAACTCAGAAACAGAGAGTAGGATGGGAACTGGAAGCTGAAAGGGGTGGATGGGAACAGGGGAGATGTTGATCAAAATATTCAACACTTCAGTTACGAGAAATAAGTTCTGGTGGTTGATTGCACGACATGTTGACTATAGTTAATAATGTATAGTATATTTCAAAATTGCTGAAAGAGTGAATTTTAAATGTTCACAGCACACAGAAATGATAAGTATGCTAAACTTCCTTACTAAAAACTGATGTTTCAAAGCTGACGTTGATGATAGTGACAGACTAGGGCTGAGGACTGGGATTCTTTTGTATTGTTTTTGGTAAGGTAAATTAGTAAATACTTTTGGACGACAATTTGGCATGCTGTCCGATTTTAAGTGAGCATTTCCTTTAAACCAGAAATTTCATTTCTAGGAATTTACCCTAGGACATTATCCTAAGGAAACAGCCAGACATGTGAATCATTATATATTTCCAAGGGTCTCGCTGTATTGGTTGTAATATCAAGAAAGAGGGGACTCCCTTTTTACGGGGTATCTGTAAAATGGGATATGGGTGCAATTATGGGACATATGTACAGTGATATACAAGGCAGCTGCTGAAACAGTCATATTTATTTATAGAGTCATAGATAGTTATCTCTAAGTTGCTAATAGAAAAGTCAGGGTACAAAACATTATAGATACTATGACTAAATCTTATAAAAATGTGTGTATGTAAATTTCATCATAAAAGTCTGAAAAGTTATAAAACAGAATATGAGTCATAATGGTAATGGGATTGGGTTACTGGTGATTTTTCTCATTGTTCTTCAAAATTTACTGTATTTTCTCATATTTTCTCACTGTTCTTTAATTTACTGTCGAATATGTATACAATAGGTATATATTGCTTTTATAATTAGCAAAAACAATAGTTATTTTTATTTTGAAAAATCAATGAGTTATTGTTTTAAAGAATGTTCACAGATACTTGTAAAACAATAAAAATAATCTGTGCATGCATTTACATTGTTGAGATGAAGTCTGTCTCCAGCTTAGATCGTTCTCTCGTGTGCTATGGTTTATTTAGCAAATGTTCACTGAGCCCATATGATGTGCCACCACTTCATACGACTGCTGTTGGTCATTTCCATCTGAATGTCTCACATGGTCCTAAAATCACTACGACTAAAACTAAATTTACCGTCATGTCTTGAAATCTGCCTCCTTCTGTATTCCCAGTCTTAGTTAACAGGATCCCCACCTACCCACGTGGGAAATTTGAGAGGGAGTCGCCATGAGGCCTCCACTGACCTTACCCACCATAGCTAGGGTGCACAAGACCTGTGACTTTACTGTTCTTTACAGTACATTCCCTCGTCTTCATTCCCTGTTCATTGGCCCTAGCTAAGCCCCTCACCCTTATCCCCTTGGACTGTTGCAGTTCTCCCCTATATTCCTAGACCATTCAACACATAATGTCCTAAAACACACCTCCCAGCTGTTGCTTACATTGCTGCTGCTTCTTCCCACTCGCCTTCTTCCTCTTACTTTGTTCTCTGGAAGACTGTCTGGTTAACTTTCAAGGCTTGGTTCAAATGCCACTCTCTAACCTTTCTGTTGGAATTGGCAGGTCTTCCCCTATGGTCTCAGTGGGTATCCTAATAAGGATCGTAAAAGCTAACATTGACCGAGCTCTTGTTGTAGGTCAAGCACCATCCTAAGAGTTTCACGTGTTTTACATCATTTAATAGTTAAAACAACCTGTGAGATAGGCTACTATTATTATTTACAGGTAATAACCTTAGGTAAAGAACTTGAGATTTAGAAAGTTTAAATAATTTGCCAAAGGTCACAGAGTCAGTAAGAATTTGAACCTAGTCTGGTTCCAGAGCCTGAATCTTTACTTCCAAGAGTGGTTATATACACGTGTCTATAATCCATACTTTATTATAGAATAGCATCTTTACTTCTTTTTCTATCAATATCTATGACTGTGCAAAGGCCACATAGGCAACCTCAATAAAGGTATGCTGACTTACTGATTAATTACTTAATCTTTCTAGGATAGAAAGTCTAAGCCAGTGAGAATTAGCCTTATTTAAAACTTTTTGTTGCTCATTTTTGTTGCTTACTTTGTTTCTATATGGATGGACTCTGATGTCCTTTTTATTGTTGGAATACAATGGTGTTTGGTTCTCTTTTGCTTCTTGCTAAATGGGCTAGATCCTGCCTGGTGATAAAGAAAAAACACCTAGAGGAGAATCGTCTGATTCAGCTCATGTGCGTTGAATGTAATGGAACTGAACCAAGAAATAATGGGGATGATCTTTGTGAAAAATATAATCCTCTTATAAAACTGGTAAAAATTGACTCTGAATTTATTTGAGAAAGACTGTAAAACTTCCTTCGAGGCAGTGTGTACACATGGCATAAATGAATTTCTTTGTGAGTATTTGGAGGATGTAAAAACTCTAAAGCCATTTATTGAATATCCATCACTTCAGAGTTCTATAGGTATTAAAGATACCCTGGTTAAATGGACCTCAGGGGTCAAAAATCACACCCAATCAATCCTGTCCTCCACTGGTCTTTTAAATCCTTCCTAGCTCCTAAATACACGCCTGGCAACAGCGTACTCACTGGTAGCTTCCTCATCTTTTGTGGCCTGCATACACTGCACACGTTTCTGAAAGAGAATTGTGATAAAGTCAAGCCCCTTCTTCAAAACTCTGATTTCTCCTCATTGTTCCAAGGACAAAGTTCATATTCCATTGCCAGGTCTCTGCAATGGTTGCTATCCTGCCTTACTCGCCCATCACAGCCTCTTGGTTCAAATTATTACCAGTCCACTCTATGAAAAGGGCTGCCATTCCCTAACCTGTCACATGCCCTCTCTGCTGGGAATGCTTTTCACTCTACTTGGTCTTCAAGATCCAACTCTGATTTCTCTACCTTTTAAATCATTGCCTCCATTAAAGTACACACTTTCTCCTCTGTGTCCCCAAAGTGCTTTGTACGTACTTTGATACTTGTTCCATAATTACCTGTTCACTTGATCTACTATGACTTATTCAAGGTCAGGAATCACTCTTACTTTTAATTTTTGTTTTAGTGCCCTGTAGAATAGTGCTTCTCAAAGTTTAATGTGCATACACATCACCTGAAGATGTAAAATCAGATTCCGATTCAGCTGTTGGGGCAGAGTTGGGGGGGCTTTGGCGGGGTGGTGTCAGCATTTCTAACAAGCTCTGAGTGGAATATCAATGCTGTTGAACTCTGGATCACCCTTAGAAAAGCAGGCAGGTGTTTTTTTGGGAATTAATAATGTTTGGAATGAATAAACCAGAAATCAAAAAGAAAAAGCAAGAGTAAAACATCAAACCATGCTTCACTTTATTTTTAATTTTTTTAAAACAAGTGACATCTTCACTGGGTCTCTACATCTCCCTAGTGGTCATTATATTTTTATAGCTTTAACGTTTTCCCACATTTTAATATTATTAAAATTTGTCTTTAATTTTTCCCTTTGAAAAAATGTTAAATTTAGGTTTGTTTCAACCAGGACCAATACTGCACAAATCTGTTATTACAATGGGGCAACATTTATTTCTTGAAATATAATTTTGAAAACATTTTTGTTATATTATAGGACCTGTTTTAATCACAGACAATACAACATATAATTGCAGTACAGTGAGGCAAAATGTGTCTTCTAAAGTTAATTTATGTGTATGTATATATATGCGATATGTTCTTAGTTACATTTTTGAATAAAATGTTGTTTTAAAGAGTTCAGCTGAACTTTAAAGATGGATCCTTGCTTTTTCACAGTCACTTCCTGTTCTGATTAATATTCATTTACAGGCGTACTTCGCAAGGGAATTAGCTCACTACAATTTGGCTTATTTTGTGCCCGAACTTAGCTTTTCCACACTCTTTTCTTCTATGAATATGAAAAGATGAAATTTAAGACTCTATAGCTGGAAAGGGCCCAGGGACACTTTTCACAAATGCTGAATATTTCACTCACTGTCAACTCTCTACCTTGGAAACCAAATCAAAATGCAACAATGAATCAACTACATCAAAAAATTCAGGTCAATTGCCAACCAATTAACGGGAACATCTGGTTATTTTGACATCTGGTCAAAACAGTTGACCGTTACAACCCAATCAGCATCAAAAATCTGATTCCATAATAAAAGCAGCAAGAGATAGGTTCAAGGTAATGCGTAGGTATTACCTTCATTATGTTGGTTAAGAACACTGACAGCTAGGCTTTGTAAATTTCATTGGGAAACCGGTAGTCATAAGAACGCTTCTGGTTCTGATCCTCAATGATCCAATGAATAATGTTATTTTCTCCACTACAAGGTTGCAGTCCTCTATTTAGATGCCATAGTCTGCCTTTGCTGCAATTTTATGGGTACTTTTAATTTCAAACGTGAAATATTTCATCCGTGTGAAGTATTTCATCTTAAGGAGACAAGTGTTAAATATTTGTTTTAGTGCACCTCAGGGAGTGAAGCCAATATGCATTGAAGATTCAATTAGCAATAGTGATGCTGGTGATTAAAGAGCTGGAATCATCTGGCTGATTCATTTGGTTTCTTTTCATCTCATTTCTTAGGGAATAAATGTGGCTTGAAATAGTTTTATTTTGAATTAATGTTTAATGCTATCCAGCCAAGAAAAACTTTTTTTCCAAATATGTTCTCCTTCATATATAGAGAAATTCTTGATGAGCTCTCCACTATGTGCAAACTGCTCAAGTCATTTGAAAGAATTGGTAAGCTGGAATGTAGGAAGATGAACATTAGTTGTTATTACTAGAAAATTACCTTTCACCTTTTCGCTATAGAGTAGAACTCACAAACCAATGCCATGTGGATTAGAACATTGTTAAGAAACCTGTGAATTAGTTGACAGTATTAATGATTTGAGAGGCTCCACATAATCTGGATTTTTGGCTTCCAGTGGCAAAGGTTGAGCTGTGTATGCCTCTCTTTCAGTGGACATCTGTTCTCTGGTTTACACAGTTCCCACCTGATCAGTGGTGCTCATTTATGTGAGCTGTCTGGCATCTAAAGGCAAATCCTGCTCTGAAGTTTCAGGTTGTGCACATCTTCACGACTCCACAACAGCAATGTGGAGGTAGAGGCGGAGAATAGAGTGTGTGCCAATTATGGGACTTACCCACCCAGATTTAGACATAGGTCAGTGGAACTGACCCTAAGAAGAGGCAGCAATATAGGTAAGAATGAAAGCTAAGGCACATCTAACAGCCATCCATGGGTGGGGAGGGCTACAAAAATGATATGGCAGAGCCCGCTGGAGGTGAGGAGATTGCGGAGAAGGGGATTTGCAGTGGAGAGTCATCACTTGAGAGGATTTTTAAGGAGTAGGAAGGCTCCTTCCTGCAAGGAGCTCAAAGCCTCATTCTCAGCGATGGTGGAAGGAATGAAGCAGAAACCCAGTCCCAAGAATCAAGGCTCATCATCACAGCAACCAAAACACAGGGCCGTGAGTCTGTTGAGAAACCGACGTAGCAGCTCAGTGTTAAACAAGATATGCCAGATTGCCAATGCTGAGTTTCAGTGATTGGCAGGCAGAGGCTGTGGGCTCCTTCTTTATTTCAAGAATAGGGCCAGAACTAGAGGTAGACACAACAAAACATGGAGATGTCCTTGAATCTGACTTTGAGGACCTGGGGAAAGATATGCAGAACAATTGCTGAAAGGAGGGTAAAAAATATCTCCATTTCATTCTTCAATGAGTCATTATTTAATATTGAAACCCTTCTGTTAGCATAAACTTTGGTGGCATATTTATTTTTAAAAAGGCTAAAGGAAGAAAGCTCTGAAGACATAGCAGGACTGTGAGATGATACAGAATCATCATCCATCAATGTCTATTCAGCCAGTATTAGCAGAAACCTGTACGGAACAACCACTCTTAACATAGAAAAGGGTATTATAATTTGAAAGCTACAGCTCTTGCCCTAGCACCCAGTTTGACCTCTCCCTATGAGAGAAATGGCCTCTTGAACACCTGAGGGTTAACTAGCCAAGAAAGGGGTTGCTGCTGAGATGGAGGGAGAGATTAGATGGGGAATAATAAACACATAGCTCTGGCTGCTGTACCTCTGGTCACCTCCCAGGATAGGCATCCCTAATTGATTACAGTACTCTTTCCTGCTGAGCTGGGATGAGGCCTCAGAATTGTTCCCAATACCATGTATCAGGAGCCAATCAATTAGGGCTGACATAGCAATGAAATGCATCTGCCCTCCTTTGATTCGGTTTTTACTGCCAAATGGGCTGTGGATGAGGCCGCTGAGTGGGGGCAGAACATTCATGTCCAGGTTGGAAGCAGGCAGATTGTCAGCCAGGGAAGCTTATAACAGGATATATTTTTAAGGTATTTATTTGTATTGATTCTTCCTTCCCTCCCCACTTCGTCTAAGTAGAGAGCAAGGCCCTTATAATTCCCTGCCTGTAGGATTTTGTTGGGCAAAAAGCATAAGATAGAGTAGTACCTCCTTTCTCTTACAAGAAATTAAACTGAATAAAAAGATTCCTTGCTATGTGCTCCAAAAGAAAGAAGGGAGAAGGGAATCATTTAGGATCATTGGAGTCATTGTTTTGCAGGCATGTGGGTGGAAGGAGAAAGGAGAATATAGATAAACGACCTCTAGCAGTCAGGGTCCCAGCAGGAAGACGATGCCCTCAAATTAGAATAGGAGAGGCTACAAGGAAGACGGAAGTACACTGTGTCTAGTAACAGCGGAGCTGTTATCACCAATTGGCCCAAAGGGATGAGGGGAGGGTTTGGTCCATGGAGTATAAAGGAGAGGGTGGTGTAGAGAGGCGGATCTAGAAAGAAGCAGCTATGCAGGGAGGGAGTCTACCTCGTTCTCTTCTATCCTTCTCTCTCCTGCTGGGGCTCCCTGTGGCCAAAACAAATCAGGAACCAAAGGCCAATGAAGTTTCTGTAAGATGGAAGTAGTAGCTCATCCAGGTCAGCAGGGAGCAGAGTGGCAAGGCGTGGGGGCATGGATGGAAGGCAAATGGAATATGTCTGTCACTACTCACACCATTTCCTTCAACATCTACTCTTGCCTTAACCTGGCTGAAAAGATTTTGTATTCATCACAGGGGACAAGTGAAGTCCTGCCAGCTACGATAGCATCAAGGGATGCTATAAACTCAGTTTTACTTTCACCTGAAACTTTAAACATTAGCCACTATCAGGTTCTACTACAGGATAGTGAAGGAAAATGGGGAAATGAAATAAGTAATAAACATAGCTGCCATAGTCCCCAGTTTGGTTGTTGATTTTATGGTCTAACTTGAGGATCATGTATTTGTCATCTTCTACTGTCTGCTCCATTTCCCCTTTCTCTTGCCAGCGCCTCAGCTGGATGGGCCCCAGTGAATACTCTGAGTCATAGATACAGATTTCCTGACCTCCGATGAGTAGCAGCAGCTCAAGTTTTCCCCGTTAATAAGTCCACTGTGTACACTGTGCTCTTCCCTGATGGTTCAGTACCATGAAATCTCCAATTTGGCATTTTTTTTTTTTAGTGAATTACAACTATCACCATGTTGCCTGGTGGAAGCATTCCCTTCTTTGGTACTAGGATTTCCAAACCCACTGAGCTCAAGCTTGCAGGAACAGGAAGCAAAAATTCTTCAAGTTAGTTATGAGATCTCACTCCTACCTCTGTCCTTTGATTCGCAAACATGTGCATTTTTGCTGTAGGGGGAGACAGTGCCATATATTGGCCATTGGTTTAAGGCATATACCATATTCTGCAGGACAGCGTTCCAACCTTGAAAGCTGGTGTCTCCAGGCTAGCACTATAACAGAACCTTCAGCAGGGCATTCCACTATTCTGTTGAGCAAGCTGCTTCTGCGTGTGAGTGCACATAAGACAGAGCATCCTGTAGGCATGAGCCTATGCCTGCATTTATTTTGTTATAAAATATGTTTTCTGGGCCAAGGTGCGGTGGCTCACGCCTGTAATCCCAGCGCTTTGGGAGGCCAAGGCAAGTGGATCACCTGAGGCCAGGAGTTTGAGATCAGCCTGGCCAACCTGGTGAAACCCCATCTCTACTAAAAATACAAAAATTACCTGGGCATGGTGGTGGGCGCCTATAATCCCAGCTACTCGGGAGGTTGAGGCAGGAGAATCACTTGAACCTGGGAGGCAGACGTTGCAGTGAGCCAAGATCACGCCACTGCACTCCAGCCTGGGCGACAGAGCGAGACTCGTCTCAAAAAAAAAAAAAAAAAAAAGAAAAACATGTTTTCTGGATGGAAATGATGTGGAGTGGCAATCCATGGCAATGGGTAAGGCATTATATTAACCCACAAATGGTGGTATTGATACAAGGATTTTATGGAGTATCTAGTGAAACATAACAAAAGATAGCATATGTGACCTCCAAAAGCCAACACATTGGTTCTTTTTTGTAATCATGGGTGGAGCAAGTTTCAGCACCTTTTCTCACTTTAAGAGGAAAATGTCAACTTTCTATAGATCAATAGACTGTTGTCTATAGAGTCAATATAGAAATAGACTTTTATCATTATGGCAGGCCCCTAAACTTTCTAAAAGTCTGTTTCCTATCTTCTGGCTTCACATGTTTTGCTGAGGCATCTAGAGTGCTTTATACTTTTTGGTCACCAGATCCAATTAGCATCATTTGATCTATATAACAATCATCATATTCTGTGAGCTATTGGGGTGAAAAAGCTTCCTCTGGATCCTCTTGGGAGAGAGAATGAGAGAACTTACCCAGCCATGAGACAATATAGTAAAGTTTTACACAGCCATGAATACCGTAAAGGTAAATTGTCCCTGCCATATAAATACAAACTCCTTTTGTTTGGAGTGGAGAATAAAGCACTTGTCAAGTCATTAACTGCACACCAGGTAGCAGGAGAAGTGTGGATTTCCTTCAGTAAAGACACCGCATCTGAAACTGTTGCTATGATCAGCCTTAGCACCTGAATTAGCTTGTAATAATCTGCTGTCATTTGCTAAAGCCCATCTGGCTTTTATACCAGTAATGTAGACAAATCAAAACATTCATGGTAAGAATCCTAACCCTGTGCATCCCTCAAGTCTTTGATAGCTGTGCTAATCTAGTCTCTGCCTCTCCCCAGGGATGAATTTCTGCTTTTGGTTTCCTATTTTAGCAAGAGGGGTAGACCTAGTTTCGTCCTTCCTACCAGAACGGCCCCCACTCCTCATGTCAGAAAACCAATGTGGATGTTGCATCCATTGCTAAGTACATCTATTTTCATTATTTGTTCTGGGTCTTCAGTCCCATTAGGATTGTGCTAAAACCCCGTCTATCACCTGATGTCTATCAACCCCTATCTGACTGGTGGACACCATATCATTGATGTCTCTGAACATGAGCAGCAGTTCAGAATCCATTTCTAACAGCCCCTAGAAGGTCTTTGTAGTTCCTTTTCTTGGTGCATAGCAACTGTGTAAAAGGCCCTTGGTTTCCTCTGGGAAGGAACTGTTAACAGGCTGTGAATATCTACCAAAGTGACTCATGTTAGGTTTCTTCCTACCAGACCTCAAAATTTCTCTCTCTGTCTCTGTCAATCTCTCTGTCTCTCTCTCTCTCTCTCTCTCACACACACACATACACACACACACTCTCTCTCTGTCTATATATATATATAATGTAATGTGTGTATATATATGTGTGTATATATATGTATATATATATATGTATATGTGTATGTATATATGCATCTCTTTTATTTCTTGTGATTTCACAATCAATACACTCTTACTGCCTATCCATGAGAATCCAAACACTCGATTTCCAGACAGTGTCACTGGTGAGTCTGATGAAATAATTATGAAATACATAGTGCCAATCATACGTAAGTCCTTCGAGAGGATTGAGAAAGAGTATAGACTCTCCTCCAATTCATTTTATGAAGCTAGAATAACCTTGATACTAAACCAAAAAGATCAATATGAGAAAGAAGCATTACAGGCTATTATTATAGGGATATTTGCAAAATTCCTAAGCAAAATATTAGCAAACCAAATCCAGCAGTGTATAAATGGGTTAATGTTCTATGACTAAACTTAGTTTATCCTAAGAATTTAAGTGTAACATAATTAAAAATATAGTTACAGATATAGACAGAGAGATAGATAGTCTCTGCCCTCTGTTCTTGGCACAGAACTCCTAAAACCCTTGTAATTTCCTGATCAATAGGGGTGCTAGGTTCATCTTTTGTTCTAATATTTGGTCTTTGACCCTGGTTCCTGACATGGAGCTCTTAATTCCTTGGAATTTCCTGCATAATAGGAGAACTTTTGTTCTAATGAGGGGACCCTTCGTGGGATCCTGGCTGGGGCTACTCATAATTAGAAACTTGGAATGTTCATCCCCACTCCTCAACCTCTGGGAAGGGGAGAAGGGCTGGAGATTGAGTTAATTGTGCATGCCTACATAATGAAGCCTCTGTAAAAATCCCTAAACTATAACTTTCAATGAGCTTCTGGGTTGGTGAGGTCATCCATGCACCCAGAGGAAGGTGCACCCCAGCTCCACAGGACGGAAGCTCCTGCGCTCAGGAGTTATCCAGACCTTCCCCCGCGTATCACTTCATCTGGCCGTTCATTGCTATCCTTTGAAATATCATTTGTAATATACTGGCAATAGTAAGTAAATGGTTTTCCTGGGTTCTGTGGACTGCTCTGGCAAATTAGTAAAGCAGAGAAAGGGGTTATGGGAACCTCTGATTTGTAGCGAATTAGACAGAAATTGTGAGTAAGCTGATGATGAAAGAAAAACTTCAGCTGAATTAAAATTAAAAGCGATTAATTGAGCAATGCATGATTTGCGAATTGGATAGCCTCCCAAGCCAGAGTAGGCCCAGGGACTCCAGCTCAGCCACATGGTGGAAGAAGATTTATGGACAGAAAAGGGAAAGTGATGGACAGAAAACAGAAGAGAGGTACAGAAACGGGATTGGGTATAGCTCTGTGTTTGCCTTATTTAAACATGGTTCAAACAGTTGGGCACATTTGATTGGCCAAAACGTGGTGATTAGCACAAGAGTAGGCTACAATCTGTTTACACCTCCACTTGTTATAGGTCACAATGTACAGAGAAACCTTTAGGCCAAACTTAGAATATGTAAGGAGGCAGCTTTGGGCTAAACTTGATTTAACACTGGGAACCTACTACTGGCAATTGATACCCAAAGCTGGTGACAGTCTTGCGGGACTGAGCCCCAAACCTCTAGGTTGTCTACTAACTTTGGTTAGTGTTATAATTGAACTGAGTTGCAGGGCACCCCGCTGGCATTGGAAAATTGGTCAGTGTGGGAGAAAACCCACACACCTGGTCACAGAAGTATTGAATGTTGGTATAGAGAAAAAGAGTATTGGTATAGATTTTTCCTGTATCACAGTAAGCTTGCTTTAGTATTTGAAAATCAAAAAATATAATTTATTATAACTTAATAAAAATTAAAACCACATGACTATGTAAATAGATATAGAAAAAGTATAAAATTCAAAATGAATTCATGATTAAAAAGAGTAGAAGCTTTAAAATAAAACTAAAAATATATTTTGGACTAAATGGCTCACCATACTAGGCTTAGTGAGGAACACAGAATCTTCTCAATGGTTTATGCTAAGTTGATGTTGATTTGATACCTGTATTTAAAAAGTGAACTTTGATTCTTACATTTACCACAGAGAAAAATATTTTAAGGTGGAGTATAGATTGTGACCTAAAGCAATTACGCTTTAGAAGCAAACAAGGGAAAATAGTTTCATGATACTGGAATAAGCAAAAAAGTTTTAAACAGGGCATGAGATGCGCTAACCATAAAAGAAAATATTGATAGAGATTTCTTTAAAATTTATTAAAAGGCACTATTACTGGAGTGAATTGGCAATTCCCAGAGAAGATGCTTGTGATAAATACATCCAAAACAGGACCCATATCCAGAATATATTTTTTAAAACTCCTACAAATCAATTATAAAAAGATAGCCCCTAAAATGGGTAAAAGGCTTGAATAGACTTCTCAAGGTAACATATCTGAATCCCACCCCCTCAATACATAGAGAGATGTTCAACATTGTTAGTGATTAGTAAAAACAGATACTAAAACCACAGTGTGATAACATCACATTATCAGAAATGTTAGTCTTTCTACTAGAAAGGCTAACATCAAAAAGCTGTTGATACCTGGTGTTGGTGAGACTCTAAACAACTGGAACTCACTCATACTATCAGAGGGAGTATTTAATTGCTACAACCACTTTACAAAACTGTTTTTCAGCACCTATCAAAGCTGAATACATTTCTACGCTATGACCCAACAGTCCTACTCAGCAGAAACGAATACTTAACGTTCACTAAAAGACATGTTCAAGGATGATGAGAGAAGCTTTATTCGTAACTGTCTAAAAACATTTTGAGACAGGGTCTCACTGTGTCTCTGAGGCTGGAGTGCAGTGGTACGATCATGGCTCACTGCGGCCTTGACCTCCTGGGTTTAAGTGACCCTCCCACCTCAGCCTCCCAATCATGCCCAGCTAATTTTTATATTTTTTGTAGGGACAGGGTTTCACGATATCGCCCAGGCTGGTCTCAAACTCCTGGGCTCTAGTGATCTGCCTGCATTGGCTTCCTAAAACATTGGGATCACAGACATGAGCCACTGCCCCCAGGCCATAATTGTCTACATATGGAAGTAACCCAACTTTCCATCAAAACTGTAATAGAGAAATAAGTTGTGTTGTATTTATACAGTACAACTACACACAGCAATGTAAAAAACCTACTGATAAACATAATAACATGGATGAATCTCACAACTATGTGGAGTGAAATGAGTCAGAGATAAAACATCACATAGCGTATGATTCCGTGTATGATTCTCAAATACAGTCAAAACTATGGTGATGGAAGTCAGAATGGTCGTTAACTTCAGGGGCAGGATGCTGACTAGGTGTGGAGTGTAGGGAGCCTGTGTCTGTAAAGATATAGAAGAGAACTATTCTAGTCTTTATCTGTCTGGTGGTCACACGACTGGACATTTTACTTAAAAACTCATCAGGCTTCTAAGATTTGGTAATTTTATGATACATTTTATTTATTAACTTTCCTAAAATTATAACTCAATTTTGAAAGTTACTTTCAAACATAGAGGGAGAAGATGGTTGGGAGACCTGAGTAGCTGTGAAGCGGCTACATTGTCTGGGGTATATGCCCTGGGGTTCATTGTCAGGTGACAGGAAAATTTAGAGCACAGACACACATGAGTTTAGGAGTGGAGGTTTAATAGGCAGAAGATAAGAGAAGGAGAAATAGCTTTCTCTATAGACAATGGGTTCTCCGAGCAGAAAGGACCAGTGGGTGGTGGATATGCTGAATTTTATAGTCAGGTTTGAGGAGGCGGTGTCTGATTTACGTAGGGCTCACAGATTGGTCCAATGACGTTTACATAGTGCACGGGGAAGCCTGTTCACCCCACCCTAATCTTATTACACAAATGGGCTTTCCAGTTGATTGGGGACATCTTGTCTGCCTCTTACTGTACACGTGGTTGACAAAGGGAAGATGGAGCCACCATCTTGAACATGTCTAGTTCTTAGTTCCTGCTGGCATTCACCCATGCAAGCTCCCAGCTTGCTTGTCTATGTCTGCAGCTCGACTTTACGGGCTGCTCTTTGTTAGAAAATGATTTGGGGCTGCTTTTCATTAAAAAGAATAGCGTTACTGAGGATTCCCATACCCTTACTGTCTGCCTAAGTGATTTCTTCTTCACTCCTAAATCAGCTGGAGCCTCGATTAGATCTGTAGATATTAACACAGGGGCAGCTTACCTTAATACTGCAAATTCACTGCCTGTTACTTCTGCTCCTATCCTATGTGGGAAACAGAAAAATGTTACAGCTCAATTCCTCCTCACCTCCTTTTGTTAGTTATTTAGCAACTAAGTGATGATGAATCATTGAACTAAGATTGTTTTCCAGACCACTGCATACTGAGGTTATATTAGTGTATTGCAATTTTCTGAATATATGATCTGTTACTGTACTTCTGTCAACTCCTTCTAAATGTAGTTACATAGTATGAGTCAACTCTTTGAGTTTTCTATTTAAAACTGTATGTTAATGGAGTCACTTTAGGTATTAGTAAAAAAGGTCACTTGAATTTTGAC
Source organism: Homo sapiens (assembly GCF_000001405.40). Classification (NCBI taxonomy): domain Eukaryota; kingdom Metazoa; phylum Chordata; class Mammalia; order Primates; family Hominidae; genus Homo; species Homo sapiens. Next base: position 91,522,377 of record NC_000015.10, read on the forward strand.
GCTTGGTCCAGTGTTTCCAATTTTATGGTCCAGATTTGGCAGACCAAATCGGCCACCATTTCTCTTTTTGGAAAAGCAGGTAGTCTTTTGCCAGGAGGTAAAATGCCAGCCACTCTTCGTGCAGATAAAGTTCTCTGGGCTACAAACTATTCAGTTACACTGCTTCAGAAATATTTGTTTTTCCTGGAGAGGTGTGGTCTTTCTCTCTGTCTCAAGCACCACTGCAATATTCCCAAGAGTCTTTCCCCAAGTTGAAAAAAGAAATAACAAAAAATGCAACTTACAGATAGCCTATTCATGTAAATTTCCAGATACCAAAATACATTCCCACTCTGATTCACTCAGGGCAACTCTTTCTCCCTTCTTACCAGATTCTAAGTTTGGATGCTCTGGGTCAATGGTACCATCTGGTGCTTGAAGTGGGGAATTGTTCTCATCACTGTATTTTCTCTACAACTTTTTTCTTTTTTTACCCTCCAACAAGATGATGCCCAGATGAGGGTGCTCTCATTTCGTTGGTCTTTCACCATTTTCAACTGTGCCAATTCAGTGACTCTTTCCCTCAGACTTGCCCCTTGGCTGCTGGGTCTCAGGAATATGTTAGGCAGTGGCATGAATGTTGAACAACACACTTTGTTTCTGCCTTTACCTTGCTCTCTTTCTTTCAAGTTTCACAAAGTAACCCCTTAAAATGGTCGCACCTTAACCTTGAGGTCAGGAGACTGAGGGTGAGAGAAGTCAATAGGCTTTCCTTCCTGTCACACACAGGCAGAACCTGGGCTGACACAGGAGCCTGGGTTGTTCACAACTGTCTTGGTTAGACAACTTGGAGAATCTGGGGACACACAGAAACCAAGAAAAATCTATGGTATTCATTTTCAATCATCTAAACTTTCCTAGAGAATTTGGTAATACTTCTAAATGCAAGTAAGTGAAGGCACTTTTGTTTTGTTTTGTTTTGTTTTGAGATAGAGTTTCGCTCTGGTCACCCAGGCTGGAGTGCAATGGCATGATCTCAGCTCACTGCAACCTCTGCCTCCTGGGTTCAAGCGATTCTCCTGCCTCAGTCTCCCGAGTAGCTGGAATTACAGGTGCCCGCCACCACGCCTGGCTAATTTTTTTTTGTATTTTTTAGTAGAGATGGGGTTTCACCATGTTGACCAGGCTGGTCTCGAACTCCTGACCTCAGGCGATCCACCCGCCTCGGCCTCCCAAAGTTCTGGGATTACAGGCGTGAGCCACTGCACCTGGCCAGCACTTTTGTTTCATAAATTTATATTAGTTTGGGTTTCCTAATGTGTGGGCTCATTTGATGTGTCTGCCTTATCTTTCTTCCTTTTTGTGTTTCTGTATTGGACCCTCTCTGTTGGTCTGGGAAGCAGATGGTCTTTGTCAATTGACTCATACCAGACATTTGAATTTCCCCTACAAGTATATCTATGCTCAGTGACTTTTCTCTGCAGACCAGAATAATATTTCAGCATCTCTATGCTTACAAATGATGCACCAGATGGATGCTTGAGCAGAAATGATATATAGATTCTTATTACATAAATGACATGCAAGATACAGAGTCAACTGAAGTTAGGTCTACTGTGATTGTGCTTGATTTATCAAATTAAAGGGGCTCTCTGGTTGGTTTGTCTATAATTCTCTTTTTTTGCCTTCACTTGATCATAATTTGGTGAGTTTAGAGAAAATGAATTTCTGGATTGCTTGAGTTTTGGCCTGCATGCATGAACCCGTTCAGTAACCGCTTGATGACTACCTACTATTGCTAGGTATTGGGAACATAAAGTTAATGGCATGCAGTTTTTCCATGAGCTCAGTTGGTGATAGACCAGGAGCATCGTCATCTTCGACAAACACCACCACTTTTAAGTTCCAGCTCCCTTTCTAGCCTCATGCATTTCAAGGAAATCACTTCTCTTCAAGCAGCCAGAAAGAGTAGACAGGAAAACACAGATAAGACAGCTCGGGCACAGAGAGAGGTTGGGGGAAAGTCTTTTGGGTAACTGCCAAACTTCACCTTCATACAATGGGCCCCAGTAAAACAGTGGGCCTTAATAAGCACATTCCTTTCCCTTCAGGTGCACTAAGATAGGGAAGCTAAAAGCAGACTCAGGTGGGGTATGCCTGCATCTGCAGAAAGATGTATGGGAACAGACACACAACTCTCCCTCCCAGATAAGCACAACAAAGAGACACAGAAGCAGTCCAAGCTTCTGATAAACTCTCCCACCCCGAATCCCTAAAAACTCAGTCTGTAAGAGAGCATGCCTCTCACCTAAGTCGGCCAGAAGCCCCTCTCAGGTTTGTTTTTTCTAAAATAAATCTGTCCTGACTGGCAAGCCACCTTTTTGTGCTTCTTTCCTCTTTCTTTAATTCTTATAGTTTGAAAGAGAGACTTGTGAATAAATAATTAAAGAAATATGATTAGTTAAAAAATATAGGTATGAATAAATAAAGTTTTATGAGATATAGAACAAAAAGGAGTTTAATTTTACCCAGTAAGGTCAGGGAAGACTTTGTAGGACCTGATAGCCTATATATATATGTACACCTGTGTGTGTATATATATATACACACATACATATATATATGTATATAATTAGTTGAAACTATGCAGACAGAGAAGGCAACAAGCATTAAGGTGAGAAGGTGCCCCAAGTAAAGACCACTAAATCCTTGATCAACTAAGGTCCTTTCTTAGCATATCAAATGTACTACCTATTTGTATACTACAAATATATGGACTGTTATTGATGAAAATGGAAATATGGAAAGAACCATTTAAAATAAATGATGGTTTTTACTTTACTAAGATCAAGTATTTAATGATTTAGTGCTTCACTTAAGGAATCAGAATTGTGCTTTGGGGAAAGCTTAGCATTTAAAATGAAGAAGAGAAATAGGCGTGGATAGCAGGGTCAGTGAGAGATTTTTCAAGACTGAAAATCTCTGGGAGAGAAAGAACAAATCCAGAGATACACTTTAGTGTGCATTGCTCCATTCTATTTGCCTCCTTGGCAGGAATGTCACTTGTGGTTTATTTTCTAGACCCATGATATATGGTCCCTTTGCTCACAGCCAGTTAAAGGGAGGTGGGTGCTGAGCAGGTAAAATTCCATGTATGCCAAAGTCCCTCGGGGTTGGGAATTGGTTCTATCCACCCTGTGTGGGGGCACATAGATTTTAGCATACCTTGTATGTTATATTGCATCAGCAGCTGTTTCTGGATATGTTGCAGGTTTCCTCCCAGCCTCTGGACTACTAGATTTTTTGCATTTCTTCCTGACACCAAAACTGGTTTCCCATATAACATCCCCTGTAGATTGTGGGAGCTACTTCCCACTATATTCCTTTTTTCTGTTTATTCTCTATGGGTGATTTTTTTCCGTGAACCTATTTGAGGCAATCATGGAATTTGATGGGGAATACTTTGCCCCTGCTCCCTGATACTGTGCAGATGAATTAAGCCTTCCAACTTATCGCTATAACACCAAGCCTGCACTGCAGAGAAGCCACTCACACCCTACCCCTCCCAACACTCTGGCATTATTCTTAGCTCCAGTCCCAATCTGCTGGCCTCAAAGCTTTTGAAAAACACTTTCCATGTGCTCTCATTCCTCCTGGCTTCCTGCTTACGGCCCTGCTGCTCTGTCAGGCTCTGTTTCTTTGCTTCTTCCTACCACCACATGCTGCTCTTTAGCCATCCTTTTAAGCAACTCATCCAACTGAGCCATCCCTGGGACTATCTCTAGACTGGAGGCCACTGTGGGGGCACCCTCATAAGATTTTCTCTGGTCCTTGCTGCAAAGACTACTGTATATATCAAATGATGGCCATAATAACGAGGGCTGTCTGTGAGGGGCTTTACGCACATTATCACATTTAATATACACAATGTATTTTAGGTTATTCATAACCATTCTCACTTTTTACACAAAGAACTTACAGGTCAGAGAGGTAAAATGCTCTGTTCAAGGTCAAGTAATTGGAAAATGGAAGCTCAAGTTTGTCTGACTCTAAAGCCTCTGTGCTATTGTTTGAATATTTGTTCCCCAAACTTCATGTTGAAACTTGATTCCAAAGTTGGAGGTGGGCCTAATGGAAGGTGTTTGGGTCATGTGGGTGGATCCCTCATGAGTGGGTTGGTTGTATCTTCATGGCAATGAGTGAGTTCTTGCTCTGTTAGTTTCCAAGACAGCTGGTTGTTCAAAAGAGCCTGGCACTTCCCCTCAGCCCTCTGTCTCCTCTCTCACCATGTGATCTGCACACAGCAGTTCCCCTTCACCTTCCACCATGAGTGGAAGCTTCCCGAGCCCCTTACCAGAAGCAGATGTTGGTGCCTTGCCTCTTGTACAGCCTGCAGAACGGTGAGCCAAATAAATCTCTTTTCTTTATAAATTACCCAGCATCAGGTATTTCTTTCTAACAACACAAATGGACACAGACCTCCCTGCTGTTAAATACCCTGCATCCCTGCCTACATAAACAGGTGAGATTTTGAATGATTGTCCTCAATTCTAAGGACCACAGACATATCCCCCACTTTTCTAGTGTTTCTTAGTTCTCATCAACCACACTTCACGTTTCGGCAAGTCTTCAGCTCACCTCAGCACACTGCTTAGACATGTGGCTGGTGGCTTGTGTCAACCCCTCTGGGGACTAATTTTGCAAAATGGGTCTCAATGCAGCAAGTGACTGTACAGCTTAGTGGAAAGTACTCTATGTAGAGAAAGAAGCAGAAAAAAGAATAACATTCCAGGGGAAAATCCTTTTGTTCCCATTACAAAGATACTTACTTAAGTGAAAAATTCAAGGTTGGGCATGGTAGCTCCCCACACTTTGGGAGACTGAGGCTGGAGGATCACTTGAGCCCAGGAGTTTAAAACCAGCCTGGGCAACATAGCAAGAACCTGTCTCTACAAATTTATTTTTAAATTAGCCAGACATAGTGGAACACACCTGTAGTCCCAGCTATTCAGTAGGCTAAGGTGGGAGGATTGCTTGAGCCCAGGAGTTTGAGGCTGCAGTGAGCTATGATTGCACCACTGCACTGTCTCAAAAACAAACAAACACACACAAAAAGAAAAGAAAAGAAAAAAACAAACAAGGTGCAGAACAAATGTGCATTCACTTTTTGGTGTATATAAAAGTATACCTATTTGCTTGTTTTTAACAATAAGAAAAGAACAAAGAAAAGATAAATTAAAACCTAGTAAAAATACCCTTTATGGGTATAGAAAAAACAATAAAGAAGAATGTGCTTTGTTTTATAGTTTTGACTTTGAAGTCATGAAAATGCTCTAGATAAACAAAAGGAAAATATTTCATAATCCCAAAAATTAGGGAACAAAATTAAATATGACGTATGAAATTGATGGCATAACAATGCAGAGAAAAATTTGTACAAGTGACTTCTAAACACAGAATTGGAGTAACTTGACTGTACATTGCTAGTAAGATAATTCTCAGAATGAAAGGAACCACTGAGAAATCTTGAACTACTTTCAGTAACAGTGTTAGCATTTTGAATATATTAGTTATATATTTAAGAATAAAAACAAACAGTTAATGCAGTTAGGGGTAAAGGTTCTCAAGAGTAAGACAAAAGACATGTAAAATCAAAGAAGTTAAGTAAAATGCTGCAATCTTTCATTTGAATTGGAAATGTCAATATGAATTTAAGATTTTTTTCCATATAAACATGCGTTTTCTATTTCTGGCTATGAAAAAAGATGTAGAAATAATACAACTCAGTACTGTTGCAACGTTAGCATCCAGATTGTATCTCTAAATATCATTTCTTGATTTCTAGGAAATCAAGTTCCTTAGAAAAATGACTAACTTCATGTCTGGGGAAGAAATTATACAAGACCTGGGAATGCTTTGTATGTGAGATGGTGCTAGAAAGCTACAGGAGCCCATGTGAATGTAGTCTTAATGGCCAAAGATGGCACAATTTAATCATCAAAAAGAGTAATTACCTCAATGGATTAAAATGTATCAAATATGTAACAATCTAAGAATTCTTCAAGAATTTTTCTATAAAAATACTCCTTTAATTGGTCACCTCTGAAGGTTGCTAGGATACCAAGTCATTGTTCCAAAAGTCTGCAAATAGAAGAATCAAGGACTTCTTATACAAATTATATTTCAGGGTTACCAAATAGTGAGAGAATGTTCTTTAGAGGTGAATTCCAGCTACCAAATGCAGAAGCAATAGAATTGGAATTCACTATTTGGCAACATGTAACAAAACGATATTGGTGGTTAACACTCACCATTGGCTGCTAAAGCCTCCAGGTGAAAGATTGATAGTGAATTTTATAATGACTGGATTAGGCTGGCAAAACCTGAACTTGACATTATGGGCCTTCCGATGTAAGGCGAAGTACAGATTCCCAATTATGAGATATTTTTTGAGAACAAGGAAAAAAGAGCTGAATTCAATGAAACTTCTATATCTAATTACCAATGTACAAAACTGACAAGGGATAAGCGTCCCACTAAACCATAAATATGCAATTTGTCAAAGCTGTAGCATGGAGAGCTCTTACAGCCAAGACCTCTTTTGCTTGCCAAATATTTGTTGAAGAAATCAGATGGCTTGGCATATGTTACACCTCAGAGCAGCTTTGCCCTGAAACAAGGGAGCTGGGCTCTCACACTTCCACGTGCACCCGTCACTGGCTAAAAATCACCTTGGAAGGCATAAACTCTCAGGTACTTCCCAAGCAAAGCAGCTCTGGAGTCTAAGGTCAAGGCTCAGAAGAGGAGTTGCAGGTGCAGATCTTTGCAGATAGAAGCACGCCGAAGCCTGAAGAGGGGTATGCAGAAATGGTCAAAGGATCCAAGTGAATCTGGGTGGAGGACCAGCAGTGCCCATTAAGAATCCTCTAGGAGAAAGGAGAGCATGTATAGTGGAAGAAGAACAAGAGGGTCATGATGTTGAGAAATGGTACAGGTGCTCATTAAATGATTCTACTTTTCTGTATGTTTGCAGATTTCCATAAAAACTTGGGAACAGTAAACAAATCATGATGATCTTACCTGTTAGACACACTGTATAATATAAGTAGTTCTAATCAGAAGAGATTCATTTGATCAGCAAGTTTGTTTCTAATTCAGTTGGTGAAAACTTGGAAACAATTCACCTGTGGAAACAATGTCGTATCGTGGTTAAGTTCTTCAATAACGCACAAAAGACACTTGCGCCCATGACAGGAAGTAATACCATATGCTAACAATGAAACACCATAGAAAACATGGAGTCAACACAAGTAATTAGATCACACCATGCTTCTGAGAAAGCAACTGCTTTTGTTTTTTCTTTGATGCTCTAGGGAAAGCAGCTGTTCTCAGAACTCCTTTGATTTCAGTTTATTCTCTGCCAAAGGTCCCTTTACAACTTAACCATGGGTTAGAGACTTGCTGCAGGTGTGTGTAGGAGGAGGGTGTTTGCCTTTTAATGATCAAGGGGTCACTATTGCTGCTGCTGTTACAAGTGGTGTCGCATCAGCACTCAAAGCACAGGTTCCCCAGTGCAACCTTTCCCCTCTCAGTCAGGGTCAGGGTTTCAATTAGGAAGGAAAGTAGTAAGGGAGACTCCCACACAGTGAACCTGTTTTTCCCAACAATACTATAGTACCTAAGCATGAAGCTTTAGTGAAATTATTTCTCACACAATCCAGTCTCTTCACCTCATGAATTCATCTTTGATCTGCCACGCAAACTCCTTCCAGCCCTTCCCCAGGATAAGCTGGCTTTGCCATGCATTTCTCTGCCTCCAGTTCTAATCCACATCCTTGTCACATGTAGGTTTTCTCGTTATGTCTTTATCATAAGGGAAAGCTCCATTACCAAGATGCACACCCTACCAAAAGAACAAGATGCACACTCTACCAAAAGAACCTGTCCTACTTGGTCCGTTCCAAGTGTACTTTCAGACAATTCACTTCGGGGGATTCAAGATTTCAAAATAATTTGTAAGTTTGCTCTCTCCTCAAGTTCTCATTAACCTGGATGCTCTTCCATGAATGTGCTTGTGATTCATATTATTAATGAACTTTGGTCCCTTTCTCTATTCCAATAAATGCTTATCATTTGAGCAGTATGACGTAATCATGCACATTATTTAATTTGGTGCTCAAAATAACATGGACTCCTTACATAAATAAGGTCAGAAAGATAGTGCGGCTTTCCCAAAGTCATGGTGCTGGTAAGAAATAGAGCCAGGATGTACCCCAAGTCTGTCCGACTGTACCGTTCACATTCTTCTCTATCTACCACAAGAAGAGCTGGGGAGATGTATCATGATCCCTGCTTCCTTCTTCCAATCATTTTCCAGATGTCCTGTGGAAAGGCTATCACTATTTCACCAAGAACCAGGATAATTTTCTCACCATCAAAATCAGTGACAAATGTAATGAGTAATAAACACAAGAGTTAACTCACTTTCTATGTGTTAGGTACACTCATAAGCTTCTTCACAACAGCCCAATGGAGTATATACTATTATTGTTTCTATTTTACAGACTAAAACCAAGGAGTTAAATTATTTCCTTAAGGCCACCTGGGTAAGAGGCAGAGTTGGCCTTTGAATATGAGCAGTCTGACTCCAGAGCCTTAGCCAGTATGCGACCCAACGGAAAGACAACACTGTGTCTGGTGCAGCCCCATCATTAAGTACAGAACACCAGTCCAGACCATTGCTAGTTCAGACAAGTGCTTCTGTGGCAGATCATGTTTCCAAAGATAGTGGCAAAAATATTTCCCATCCGGCGTGCTCTTAGAATCTGATCTTGGCTTTCCTCCTGTTGAGTGGCGGAACCTGTCTTCCAACCCTTGGACCTGAGCCGACCTTTGCAACTGCCTTCACTTATAGAGTCCAAAACAAGTGATATGATGTGTCTTCCAAGGCTGAGTTATAAAAATAGCTAATACTACTGCCATATTCTCTTAGAATGCGTGTTCTCGCAGCCCCACTACCATGCTATAAGGGAGCTTGAGCAGGCCAGGGAGAGCCCCATGTGGAAAGAAACCAGCACCCTGGCCCACGGTTCTGGTTCAGCTCCCAGTCAATATTCAGGACCAACTTTTCAGCTGCATGTGGGCACTACCTTGAAAGCAAATCTTCTGTCCTCTAGTTAATCTGCATCACCCACCTGACAGCCACCCATGGAGTAGAGATGTGCTTTTCCTGCCAAGCCTTACTCAAAATCCAGATGTATGAGCACAAGAAATGATTAAGTTCTTATGTTTTGGGGGTGCTTTTCTGAAGCAGTAAGTAACCATAATAGCTCCAAAAGCTACATCCTCTCAGCAAACGCATTAACACTTACATGTCGGGCTCTGTACCGGGCACTGCCACAGACCTTATCTGGTCTGTTTACAAATTAATTCTGTAAAGTACTGTGATTCCAAATTTACGGAGGAGAGACTGAAGGCAAGAGAGGCCAGTGAGTGCCTTACTCATTGGATGCTCATGAAACCAGCAGGCATATGATGGAACTGGGATTTAACTAAAGGTCTTTCTTAATTCAAGTGCTTGTCTTGTCACTAGTATTTTCTTTATATGTAGAATCCTGGTACACTAAAAGACGGTAACTGAAAGTGATAAACTAAAAGAAGCTCAGGACTGATGAGGTTAATGAAAACAGGCTTCCCTCAAATCTGGGATGATAGAATATTCTACTGTGACAATCAGATATAAGGTTATAATTTCCAATTGGAAAGTAGTAATAAGGATGATGATGAGATACTTACTGAATAAAAATTAAAATGAAAATAGGCCAGGCGTGGTGGCTCACATCTGTAATCCCAGCACTTTGGGAGGCCAAGGTGGGTGGATCACCTGAGGTCAGGAGTTCAAGACCAGCCTGGCCAACATGGTGAAACCCTGTCTCTACTAAAAATATATAAATTAGCTGGGCATGGTGGTGGGCGCCTGTAATCCCAGCTACTCAGGAGGCTGAGGCAGGAGAATCACTTGAACCTGGAAGGTGGAGGTTGCAGTGAGCAGAGATAGCGCCATTGCACTCCAGACTGGGCGACAAGAGTGAAACTCCATCTCAATAATAATAATAATAATACGTAACATAAAGTAAAATAAAAATAGTAAATTTTAAAAAGGAACAAGGTACTGTGTCAGGTGCTTCACATCACATTTAGTGATGCAGATATTTTTGACTCCAGTTCTAGGTGAGTGTACTGAGATTCACACAGGCCAAATAGTTTCCTGAAAGTCAACAGCAAGGAACTCTGACCATAAGCCCCTGGCATGTAACAATCTCATCATACTGTCTGACAGAGGGAGCTAAGGAAAACATACACACAATTCCAATAAAATATCCCATTCACTGACTGTGAGTGAACAAGGTGGAGAGGATGGCAGGGTGGACCAGAGCTTCCAGCAATAGCTCATTATCAGGTGGAACGCCGACAAGAGGCAATGGGTAATTGGCCACTGGAATGTCTCAGAAGGCTGTGAACTGCTCCGGTGAGCTCATGGGCCTAGCTGTGATTTAAAGTTCTCATCTTCTGGGCCCTATTCTGCCTGATGTCTGATGGCATCGCAACCCCAGAGAGCACTTCTTAGCTTTCTGATTCTTGGAAATGACCATTCTAAAGGCGCCCACGCTTTTGGAAAGTGTGGAAGACATTAAAAGGTTGTATTTAATTCTACTTTTATGAACACTCCTTGTTTCTGCTGGCTCTTATTAAAATGAATGAGACGTCTCTATGTCAACCATGGGTGTCTCTGATCTGTTCCAAATAATCTTTAAGAGAGGATCAACCAACCTTAAAGGAATTCTCTACCCCATCCCAGAGGAAAGCATAGACAAGTAACTGGAGAACCTCAAATCCAGGCCTCGCTGAAAAGTTGTTCGCCCAACTGGTAATTGCCCCAATGACAAGCACTTAAGAACAAAATTGAAGGCACAGGGAAGGTTGGTTGTAAGGAATATTTCTTCTAACTTGATGGCAAGAGACCACATGTAGAGGAAAACATGTTTTAAAAATAGTCACCTGTTTCCACAGTTTATTTCATTTCTGAAATAAAGGGTATCTGCTTGGAATTTTAAATGGAGGGGACAGGGAACAAAACCCTGGTTGCCATAGAAATGAAGAATTCTTTTCCAGTCAGAGGAGTATGAATTCAAGTGAAAAATCGGAATCAGGTGAGGTATTCCACAGGCAGAATCATCTATTATCCTGTAAAAATCTACAGCCAGAAGGAAAAATAAATGCTAAAGGGTATGTAGAGTACAGAATTATGAATTTCTCCATACATTAGTCACTTGCTTTTTAGATAAGCACTGGGACTCTTTGGCTGATCTAGTTCAAACATTAGCTTCCATATTAATGTAAAACCAATATTAAAATTAATTTTCATCCATTTCATTCATGTTGCAGAAATGATTAGGGCCCTGACAGATACTTAAAAGCTTTATAGAAGGACTGTGGTTTTTGAGACCATGCATGTGTGCTTTCAGATTCATTATTTCTTTGAAAAAGCTGATGACAAGATGTTAAGATTATGAGATTTGGAGTCAGACAAGTTTATGGTTCAATCCTAGCTCCATTCCAGGTTGTCTAAAGTGACCTTGGAGTTATTCTTTCACCATTGAGCAAAATAAGAACAACAATACTTACTTCACAGGGTTAAATAGCATGACATATTTACAAACTCAAAACACTGCCTGGTACATAGTAGGTGACCACTGACTGGCCACTGTTGTTATGATTGTTATAATCACATGCTCTTTGGTCCAGTTGGGCTTCTCACTTTTCCAATTCTATTCACCTTATATATTTGGGGACCAGATCTCCTGGATTTGGATGGTGTGACATATCAGATAGGATTAGGTCTCACAGCATGGGACAGACACCCCAAATAATAAGGGTTTAAAACAAGATAAAAGTTTATGTCTTCTTAAATGTAAAATGAGTCCCAGGACACGGAGCACAATATTGGTACTGGCATCAGGGGCCCAGGCTTCCGCAGCTGGAAATCCTATTCATAAAAAGGAGAGGGAGAATGGTCAGCAGGCAGCTAGCAGTCTGTGCTATGTGTGGATCCAGTATTGTGTCTTCCTCTTCAGCCCTGATTGTCTGTTTTCATGCTATGTTGCCTCTTCCAGTAGAAAGAAAGAGAGAAGCTCTCAGATTGGCCATACCCAGTGAAACACTTTTGATCTACTAAATATATGTTCATTCCAACAGAAAGGCATGAAATTTATTAATATAAGCATTGTACTAAATGCATTACATGTTACCAATATTGATATTATATGTATTTATATGATCACATAACCAATATTTTTCACTCCTATTTGCAGTTTCAGGGTTAGTTCTTCCACGAGGTCCTTTTTAGCATTGATATTCTCTGAATCCAAGTAGCTATAAAATGCGTCAACAGCCCTTTTTCCTCCTGACTAGCAATCTGTGAACTTGGCCACTCTGCTTAGCAAGTCAACTTGAAAAAAAATCACAGCAACTTAAGAAGGTGGGCCTGATTCTCTAAGAAACCGCAGCCATCTGAGGATATAGGCCACTTTATGCAATGATACTATTCTGCTCTTCGTTTCTCATGAGGAGGGGCCCAAGAAGGATATTCCCAATTGGTAAGACTGATGTGTGCAGGAAGAAAAAACCAACCACTAAATCGGGGTTGGAAGTGAGAAGAAAGGAACTAAAATTTTATGTCTGCTTAATAAATGCCCACTATTTTTACCCTGTGAATTAGGTATTTGTTATCTCCGCCTTGAAGGTAAGGACATGAGGTTGCACAAGGTTGAGTAATGTTCCCATATCTTTACCACTAGCAAGCAGTCACTCCACTATTAGAACCTAGTTCTGTTTTCCTCCAAGTCCTGTGCAATTTCTTCCATGTAAAAAAAAAAAAAAAAAAAAAAAAAAGGCTGGCTAACTAAACACTTTATGAAAAATCCATACAATGTGGTCATGGGGTAAATCCAAAAAGCAAGCACTAGGAAAACCAGCATATAATATTTTACTTATAATATAGACCTATACTTGTGTGAAAAGTGCAGCCAAACGACTGGAGATAAGTAAGCCATTTTCTTAACAAGAGTTGCCTCTTGGCACTGGGCTTACCCAGTGGTTTCTCTGGAACTGGCTAGCAAGAGACTATTGTTAAATATTTAGAAATGTTGAGAGCTAGTTGTTAAGCTGTTGGTAGCTTCAAATTGAACACAACTGAAGTATTTACACCGTGGAAACTGGCAAAGGCTATATAACCCAGGCTCCCTCCCTACTGCCCCAAAAGCCAGCTTACAAGCATATTACTCACTTTTCAGGCTTTCCATGCTTTGGGTATTGTGTTTTGTATTTACCCCTTTCTACTATAGCATAAATTAGCTCATGACCAAGAAAATAATAAATCCAGCAATGAATTAAGAAAGAGCAAAATGAAACTAAACTAAACTTAAATGAAACTAAACTAAATTAGCTTCCAGAAAACCTGTAGATGATCTGAACTGGCTCTCCCCCATTCTTGCTGCTACGGTCTAAATGTTTGTGTCCTCCAGAAATTCATATGTTGAAATCCTAACTCCCAGTGTGATGGTATTAGAAGGTTGGGCTTTTGAGAGGTAATTAGGTTATGAGGGTGGAGCCTCATGAATGGGATTAGTGTCCATATTGTGTCTCTGGGCCACAGAAGCCGCAGAGAGCTGCCTTGCTCCTTCTACCATGGTAGGTCACAGCACGAAGGTGTCATCTGTTAACCAGGAAACAGATCTTCACCAGATGCTGAATGTGCTGGCATCTTGCTCTTGGACTTCCCAGCTACCAGAACTGTGAGAAATAATAGTTTTTGTTTATAAGCCACCCAGTGTATGGTATTTTGTCATAGCAGCCCAAATGGACTAAGCCACTTGCTATTTTCTTTGAACTCAGAGTTGGCTGTTGGGTCAAAGAAAGACATGAAGCTTCGTATGTGTTCTCAGGGTGCAGCACCCTGCTGGTCTCTGCCTTAGGGAATGTGTGTCATCAGCCTAAATAAAGGAGAACAGCTGTATGTGCAAGGATGTGGGTCACATGGCACATTTTCCCAGAGTTCTTTTTGGAAACTGAGCCATCCTTTGGTCACAGGTGGTCTTACAGTAACTTGGGTGGCTTACAATTTCTTTATTGCTTTGCTTCATTCTATAAATCTAACTCCAAGGAGGACAAATGCTAGATTTAATAGGATATGTAAGATATAATTAACCTCCTCAGCCTGCTCATAGAAGATGAACAGTGAAGTTGAATTTCTCTGCCTGAGCACTGCAGAGGCAGAAAAAGACCACCTCCCTGCAACCTGTACATATGTGGTTATACTTCGCAGGTGCACACCGCACATACCATTAGGCACATGAAATTAGAGACACACTCAACAAAGTGCTCTATTCACCTGCCACAGTCTTGACATCAATATCATTATGAGCACATAGCTTTGATGGGGGTGAGCCGAGACTGTAATAAGACACCTATTGCAACTGTGGAGTAATATGATAAGCAGACCAGATAAAACAGGCAGCTTTCAATCCAAAGTCCAGAAGGGCACACAGAGACTTTTTTTTAGTCTCTTGCCTGTCTGGTCTGCTGAGTCATGGTCCTAACTTCTGTTGTTGGAAAAGGGAGCTTTGTATCAAATTATCCTTCACCCAGGGAGGCAAAACAGCCCCGTTTGTCCTGGCAAATTTCCTCCTGTTTGAGTCACTGAAATTAAACATTGAAAAGACCTATTATTTCCTCTGTCCATCCTCGGGGGAGTGATATAAAACAGATTCTTATATTCATTGCCTCTGTTTCTTCCTCCATCTGATTCTAATTAAAATAGCTGAGAAAATATCTATGGCCTAATTCGGAACCAGCAGAGCATAAGAATGATGGCTGTGCCAAATCAAATCAAGCAATATTTATTGAATAGCTCCACTCTTTGTCGAAATTCTTCTTAGCAGTTCTACTTCCTCAGCTAACTCACTGTATCCAAAATAGCATAGCTTACTGATTTGGGTAAATAAATAAATAAATAAATAAATAAATAAATAAATAAATGTAATAACAGATGCTATTTGTTGATCATATGTTTTGTGCCTGCTATTAGGCTATGTGTGTTATATTCATTATCATTTAATTTCCTCTGCCTGAAGCGTAGCTATTATTCTCCCATACTATAAATGAGGAAACAGAGACTCTGAGGAGTTGAGTAGCATGGTAACTAACACCATGTCCCTTCGCGGGTCATTCGTAGTCAGAATTCACCAAAGGCACCCTTCTAATACCTTGCCATGATGTTTCTCCACACTAACTTCTTTATCAAGATGATTGGATCCACTCCTCCATCTTATTTTCAAAAATAAATTTGAAAATTTCATATGCAGTTTTGGTGAGAGAAATGGAAAGACAAAAATCCGTGGAGAAAGGAGCAATTTGTGAAATATTCAATCCAGCTCGCACTAAACATCACAAAAGAGAAATGCACACTCTTTTGTGCATTTGAGTCAACTTTGAGTTAGTACATCGGCCTTAGAGATTTAATGCACAGTAGCCCCTTGCACACTGAAAAGGCTGGGAGGAATTAGGTGTCAGCCTTCCAAGACTGCGGCGCTTACCTGAATCATACAATGCCAGAGCTCATATGTCTAGCCATTTTCACTGGAAACGAACATAACAATCTGTCCCTTTATATGTAATTGCCTCTATTATAGCATGATGTTTCAAGCAGAGCTCCACAGAGAGAAAGGGGAAATAAAACACTTTGTTTACACCCCTGGCAAACAAAAATGCTTTCCAAACATTAGCTTTGTTCTTCCCGTTAAACACATATTTTACAGCAAATTCTTCTTGTAAGTTGTTTTCTCCAACGTGCAGGTCAATAAATGCTCTCATTATGGAATTCATCAGAGGATGATTTGTTGAGACATTAATCCAATTCAGCAGAGTCTCCTGAACAATCTCCTAATGTTTACAGACTCTTACTTTTTTTAAATTTCATGATCAAAAGAGTGTAGCAAATGCTACATATTTATTATGCTCTTTCTTTCTGTGTGCCAAAGGTTAATCACACAGTAAGTCTGAAGGCTCCATTTCCCTGATTCCTTTCAACTTTGAGTTAGTACATTGGCCTTAGAGATTTAAATCAACATCTCTCAATTGGAATTACCCCCCAAATTCCATCTGAGCTTTTTTGATTGCACAGCCTTTTTGCTGAAATCAATGACAAACATGACCTCGAGATGAGCTGCAAAGAACTCTGTAGGAAAGATTGGTCAAGACACTTTTTAGAGCAAAACATCTTCAAATTTAAATTCTATGAATTAAGCACCTACTAGGGAAATATATCTACTGAGTACTTTCTCATGCTCCAAATATTTTCAAGATCTCTCACAGATATCATTTTCATTTCTATGTATGGTATATTACTACACCTTATTGTTCAGAAAAGAAAACTGATTGAAAGGTTATGTGATAGGCAGAGCTAGAATCTAAAATAAGGATTATCTTGCCTCAGAACTTACCGTCTTTCCACCAGGAAAGCAAGGTCAGAAAACTATGATCCTGTGGCCTGTGGTTTTTGTAAATAAAGTTTTATTGGGACACAGCCATGCCCATTTGTTTGTGTGTCATCTATGGCAGCTTTTGCAATACAATGAGAGTTGAGCAGCTGCAACAAAGATTATCTGCCCCCAGAAGACTAAAATTTTACTATCTGGCCCTTTACAGAAAATGGTGACCTCTACTATAAAGAATTGTAACGTATTCTAGAATACATAGTGATGAATGAACATGGTTTCCACTTTCCAGCAATTCAAATTCTAGTTGAAGAGGCCAACAAACACCTAAGAAGCTCTCTAACAAAGATGTTCTACCTCAACAATTTGGACTTCTAAGGAAGAGAATATCTTTTTATTCCTCTCATCAAACAGCTCAAGCCCATATTACTTTGGCAAGGTTGTTATTTTTTTTTGACCTCTAGGATTCCCACTTCTTCTGTGAAAATTCCAAGCTCTCAGGGCCCCTATAGTCCAGCACATCAATCTGAGACACAATTGCTTGGTTGAAACAAAACTGGAGCCACTGCTCTGTGCCTCTTGGGCCCCGCTGTCCATTGCCATTGTGCCCACTGCAATCTTACGATGTCACCAGAAAAATGTAGTTGCTTGGTCCAGGATTTGAAAAGGGCATGTTCCTGCCTGAAACCTAGGGGCTTCTTATCTAGCAAGTCTCCTCATTGACAAAGAGCAATTCTGAATTGAGGGTCTTCCCTTGTATTGGTGGTAATTTCTCCAGAACAAGACCCCTTGTTACCCTGATTCTTTCTTTCTTTTTTTTTTTTTTAAGATGGAGTCTGCCTCTGTCACCTAGGCTGGAGTGCAGTGGTACAATCTCAGCTCACTGCAACCTCCGCCACCTGGGTTCAAGCAATTCTCCTGCCTTAGCCTCCTGAGTAACTGGGATTACAGGCGCCCACCACCATGACCAGCTAATTTTTTTTTTTTTTTTTTTTTTTTTTTTTTTTTTTGTATTTTTAGTAGAGATGGGGTTTTACTGTGTTGGCCAGACTGGTCTCAAACTCCTGACCTCATGATCCACCCGCCTCGGCCTCCCAAAGTGCTGGGATTACAAGCGTGAGCCACCACGCCTGGCCTCCTTGTTACCCTGATTCTTAATATGTGCCAAGGACATGCAGTGCTGGATGTCTGGCTCCAATGCCACGTGTTAAATTTCAGGTCAGTGGTTGAGCCTAGTTGGCTCCTAAATCTTGGGTGTCATCAGTGCAGACTTCTAGCCCTGAGGTTCTGCTCCACTCGACCCTGCTCTCAGTGAGGTTTTACGTGCATCTTGGCATCTTTCAAGATTCCTCCCTGTGACTGTTTGCTTTAAATGTTCTGGCTTCCATTTTCTGAACTTAGTGGCAGAAAGCTAGCCCTTTCTTTCAGTAATCTAAGGACAATTAGCCATTTATCTGAATCCTTTGATTTGGCCAAACTCAAGGGCTTCTTAGCGAATTCATTATAGTACCCCCTGTTATACCATTTGATGGGAGCAGTTTTTAAGTGGTCAGATACTTTATGTTTACCAGGAATGCCCAAATTAAGCATGTTATTTGATGCCTTTTTTTGAAGCTCTTGTCTTCAGATGCAGACATCACACTTGTCATCACCATTAAAGAGAGCTGAGATGTAGCAAACTGAAAAAAGCCTTGGATTTTTCTTTTTCTTTTGGCTTTACATTGGGAAAGATTTCCCAAACCTCCAATTCTCTCTTGCATCTCAAAGCAGATATCAATGGATAATTTCAGTCCTGCTCAAATGCAGAGCACATAACTATTTTGAATCATGAAGAGTAAATTCTACGTGTTGGTTTTCATATAAAAATATATGGATACAGCACCCTTGGCAAAATGTCATTTGGTTAAATATTTCACTTGAAAATCCCTTTGAAGGAGATAAGGCATAGTTCAGAACATTTCTATCCCAGCTAACTGGAATACTACATAGAGTAGTAGACCCTCAAAGTCTTTTCATGATCAGAGTGAGTGCCAACAGGAAACTGATATTTTGAGGAAATTTGTCTCAATTTACCTTGGATTTCTGTTTGGCTTCTAGTCCAGAGTCTCTGGGTAGGATAAGATTCTGCAAAACGACTGAAGTGATCCATCACTGCAAATGCGTATCCAAGGTTCCAGCTGTCAGGTTGAAAAGACAAGGTTTTCCCCACACTTAACTAGAGGTGTGTTGTTTTGTGTTATTTCCAGTTCAGTTTTCCATGGAAGAGAGTTCTTCTGCTGGGTGCTTTGAGACTCAGTCTTACAGTTGGAAGCCATGTCCTCAAATCTTATGATAACTCCCCACCACAGCCCCAGATTTTACATTGATTGTTGATTCTTTCCCTGCTCAGATGGCCAACATAATCAGGAAATTTTATTTGAGCCTTGAGATGATTTTCCCATGCCACTTCCCCAGCTTGAGTTGAGGGCAGTGGGAGAGGGAGAGTGAGAAGACTACAGCTGTGATTGAGTGAGTTTAAATCCCAAACTCATTGAATATCCCTAAGAGACAATTTAAGCCGGAAGGGACTGAGTCACCTTCAGCAGGGATTCCAGAATTACTACATAGAAGGGCTAGAGACAGAAATCATATCAGAAGGGAGGAGCAGGAACCATGGACCCTGACTTGCTTAGCACTTATAGTGATCCTGTTTAAATGCCAAAATTAAGAAATGCTTAACATCAGTGGAAGTGGTAGCTTGAAAGCTAAGATGGTATAGTAAACATTACTAGGGCTTATGAAAGTGTCTGTTTCCTCTCCCTTGGGACACATACTCCTAAAAAGTTTTGTGTGTGGCCATTCAATTTCCTTTGGACTGTGAAATACAAGTGGAAATGATGTATATCACTTGTGTGTGGAAGCACTTATGGGCTGTAGCACGACTCTCCCTGCTCTCTGCCTCGACCGTGGGAGATCCTGAAGACTTATATTAAGATGGTTATGGCATGAGATGATAAAGATTTTATCACCCTGGGGTTGTAAATAACTATAATAGACCCACGCTACGCATGCATCATGAGTGGGAAATAAACCTTTGTTACTTTAAGCTACTGGGACTTGAGGGTTGTTTGTTACTGTAGTTAGCATATCCTGATTGATGAAGGTGTTCAGTTACAGAACATTAAAGTTATATTCTTGCACATCTAATTTTATGTTTGTAAATTTCAAACCTACTACACAACCATTTAACGTATATGAATTCAATGGTAACTGCTCAGCAGGAAAAATACCAGCTTTTAAAAAGTGTGGCTGATGAGTCCCGTTATCTGTCAAGGAACACGTGTCTCACACTGTGATGTAAGCCGGCTGCTCCTTCTGTGGGTCCCAGGTCTCTCAGGCTGCACACAGTGTAAGAATATTGCACACTGAGGGACTCTAGCCTTTAAAAATAATTTTTATTTTATTTTATACAAGATAACCCAAACACAAACCAATTACATCGTCTGGAGTTTTACCAGTGAAATACCAAACTCTTCCCATGTTGAAACAAAATACAGGCTGTGCCACTGGCTCCTTATGCTACAGCAAAGCAATGTAGTTTGTGGATGGGATATCAAGCCTCACTATCAGGCAGACTTCTGCTGGTGAAAATTAGGGACTTCCTGAACTTGCTATAGTTCAACCTGTAGGCCCCAAGACCTATAGTTTTATTGCAGACAAAGAGCTGATGGGGTCAGCAAATGCCGCATCAGAAGCCCCACTAAACAGCTCCTGAAAACCTGAGCACCTGCCTACACATGATGCCTGAAGACCTCCAGAGGGTTCAGGGTTTGTGACGACACTTGACTCTCCTCTGGTCCGCAAGCTCTCCCTTTCTTCTCAGTGTTCCCAGTGCAAATTGAGGGTTTAAGGCCATGACCATTTAAAGGGTTGTGGAGCAATGGAATACTTTTCTACAAAACTTCTGAATACCCACTGAATCCTATAAGATGTAAAAATCTACTTTAATAGGGTCAATTGGTAATAGTGATAGTCTTGAAGGCCGCTGCTCATCCATTTCTTTGGGGCCCTATAATCGATTTTGTTAAGATACCTTATTCCTTACATATTTAAGGCCAGCAGGATTGGTTATGGCAAGGGGGATATTTCAGAGTGCTTTCTCCCAGGTAGTTCAATAGAAGGGTAGTTTCAATATCCTTTCAAAGAAAATTATATCATCCAGATGTAAGATAATGAAATATAGATATAAGACACCAACACATCAAGATAGTTTATGTCCCCAATGACATTTTTTATCAACACCAGAAAGAAAGAAGGGGCTCTCAAGTATCTTAGGGTACCCTTTCAAATTGTTAGACCTCTACAGGAAAGAAAGATGCTATCTTCCTTTGTCGTTTTGTTTGTTTGTTTGTTTGTTTGTTTGTTTTTGTTTTTTTCTTTTGCCATAGCCATTTGATAATACACACTTCTCAAATCCATCACTGAAAAGTTTACTCCCTAGTAGGAAGTCCAGGACATTTTATTTTCAACTGTTGAATACAATTTGATAATCCAAGCAGGACTGAATTTTACCCACTTTTCACCCTAGCTCAGTGGGGAAGATTTTGGGCAATGGAACATCAAAATGATGCGGTGATTCAGTAGAGTCTAAGGAAGTCTCATAGATGATGACACTCAGACACTGAAATATTCTTATCTCTTGTGGTTCTATTTGATGCTGTTTGCCCTGGATTGCACACTTAACGTTTTCCCTCTATTTTCTTGTGTGAAGCTTGGAGAGGCAGTGTTTGGTTCCTCTCCCTTCTATTTTCATAGTCTCTGCGCACAGGTGGTGAATGGGAGGATCATCCAGAAACTTTGGCCCTGGGTAAGCATTTTTAAATCCTGAAATGGGTTCCTAGCAATACAGATATCTTTTCCATATTTTCTGGATCGAGGTGTGCAACTGCTTACCTGGCTTTTCCTTGGGATATTTCGTCCTGACAATCAGATCATGAATAAAGAATCCCAATTTATCAACTTTCTGGAATGGGAGTGGCTCTAAGTTTTTCTTCTAAAATGTACCTGAAAGTAAGGCATGAGCTCATAAATGGGTAGGAAGGACTGGATCTTTAATAAATTGGGCACCTCTGGGTGCTGCAAACAGAGCTGAGTGTTTTGCATACTTCTGATGGGGTGGTCAGTAACAACCCTGTACCTAGGTTAGTGTCTGTAACAGAACCACGAGCTATAAAGTTCTAGAAAGGTGTGGGAACTGGATTTTGAAAACTGGAGCAGTTTTCTTGGGCAGGAAGTTTGGGGTGCTTCCCTCTAACTCAGTCAATTCATGTTAACAATAATTCCCTCTTTCCCAACCCAAGTACTTGGGGTATATTTGGCCCAGGACAGCCTTTTCTTCTCTGCTTGTTTATGTATTTCTAGTGCATGAGGTGAAGCAATAAAACCACACTACTTTTTAAAACAAATATACATTAGAACAGTCAAATGGGTGGTGGTATCTTCAAAATAGTTCTTATCAGATACTAGATATTTGTTCTAGTGATGCTTCCAGGGCTCAGGGTGGTAGTGAGGATGTGGATCTCCTCTTGGGAAGAACCTCTAGAGTTCATGTGTCATTCTGAGATATTCTCAATACAGCAAATTGTCAGCTGTGAAGGACTCATACAGCAAATAGCCGAAAGTTAAATAAACTCTATTATTATAAAAGGATGAAATTAAGCGCCCTCTGAGGTTCAGGTCAGGGGGTGGCCAGAATGGATGCTTCTGGTTATAGTTCAGAGTCCCCAGACACTAAGTGTCCTGGTTAAGGAAGGAGGGCTACAGATGTGTGAGAACTGGAAATCAGAAGAAGCTAAAACTGGGGAAACAAATAGAAGGACTCTATTAGTCTGAGTCCTCTGAGAAAAAGATGCCAAGATGAGATGAAATGTACAAGGCTTCTTATGAAGAGATATGCCCACCTGAGAAAAAATATGGAGGGTGCTGGAGGGTCTTCAGTCCTCAAGGCAAGTCTGATACCAAGTGAGGGAGAGAGGGGAGGAGGCTGGATGGAAACTTCTGGATGGCCATGCAGTCTAATGGAGTTTTGATGCAGTCCCTGGGCATCCTTCTGCCAAATTTGGCCATCAGAGTAATCCCGTAGCTCCCAGAAATGATATCCCTGCCTTGTTCCATGGTTGACCGGGAGCAGCCAGTGGCTAAAGCTTGACCCCCATTTAGAGCACAGCAACTGGGGCTCTTGGTCCATGACATTCCTGGTTAATTACCCTTATTGGAAGTCTGCAAAGTGCATTTCCATCAATGCCAAAATAACCAAGATGAACCCTGAGAAGGAAAGACTTTAGCCAAAAAAGGTTGATACCTAAAGGGCCTACTGACTCAGGACTAGGTTAGGAAGCCAAAGTGGTCATTGGCTCACTGATGGAGTGGGAATGGGAGATCTCGGGCATGGGGGTAGCATCGACACTGGGTGATTAAGACAGAGGACACTGTGAGAGGTGGCTCCTCTGCAGCTGCCCACCATCTGAGCCCAACTGCAGGCTCGCAAGGCAGCTCTGGAAGCTTCTGATGGATGCTCAAGCTGTATGGAGTTGGATTTGATTGTGAAAAATGAGATGTGATGCTCCAATTAGGCTGTTTTCTGGTGTTACTAGAACTGGCTTGAAGGAAAATATTCCAGTTTCAGAAATAGTTTGATCAATGGCAGCGGTTTTGGAATAACTATTTATTTTCCCAAAGGTACCACTTTGAAGGAAACAGTACTCATTTGGACACATAAGTTCTTGTGGCTCTGTTCCAAAATATTACTTCTTATTACTTAATTAGCACCTTATTATTTTTTAGGAGTTGTTCACAACTGGTTTTACCTCTTCACCCATTTCACAAGCCCTACATACTCTTGTCAATAACATCTTTTACTACTTCCCTAGAAGTGGCTCAGGAAGCAGAAAAAAGCAATACCCATCTCCCCGACCCCAGCACCAATGACAGGAGGCCTGATGTTAACTATGAGGAGATCTGAGAAGGCAAACACACTCATTCCTTCTCAGGGCAGAAGGGTGCCAAGGGACAGATTTTCTTGGTGGCTTTGCCTTGTTTCACTCACTCTGCCTACTCAGATGAAATATTCTGTTCCGCTCACTCTCCTACAGACATTGCACCAAGTCAGAGCATGCCATCCGTAAGGACAGTGTGAGTATAAGCGTGTAGGGGAAGGGTGAAGGATACATATTTCTCTTTCTGGTATATAAAGTCTAGCATTTAGGATCTTGCAGTGTCTAGCGTACAGTACCATGGAGGCAGGCCTAAGTGGAATATGAAGTCAATGCTGGAGGGAGTAGTTGTCTGCAATTCTCCCCGCCATGACCTCCCTTTGTCACATGGATGGCATACAGTTATGCTGAGATGGTGCCAAACTGGAAAGATGGGATTGGGAATTCTAGCATAAAAAATAACTACAAGTGCACCTCTCTGTGTCTGATATTTGTTCTTGCTCGTGTTTTGGAGTGAGGAGTTTGGAATCTTTGCATACCCCGATGGAGTAAGGGGTGTCTTGTGGCCAAAGAAATCTCCTAAGATTCTGCAAGGAGATTATAAGGTGGCCATATATCAGAGCCCTAGGGTCCATGACTCCTGGGACTTGTGTGTGTGGGTGACTTCCAACCAAAGGCAAAATTCAGGATTCTGTGTCCAGGAAAGGAAAAGAGGACACTCAGTGTAATATCATATAGTCATTAGAAACATCTCCAAAATGGAAAATTCTAGACCAATAATGCTTTGTTTTTTTTCTCCTGAGGGAGGACTAGTCTAGGTGATTCACATTCAGAAAACTTTTAAGAGTCAGGTAAGAGGTGGGGAGTTAGGAGGGAGAAAGAAGCGAAGCCCGGGAACCTCATCCTCTTCCCCACAGCTCAAGACTCCCGGTCACATCACAGGCAAGTAGAATTGGAGCCCTGGGAGGGGTATTTCAGAGACTACTCACACTCGACAAGGTCGAAAGTCTAGTCCTTGTCAGAGCCAGCACCTTAACCCTAACTTTGGAAGTCAGGGCTCTTGCTCTTCAGAGTGCATGAGCACTGGTGAAAATTCTTTTTTCTTCTTCTAGAAAGGATGCTTGTTTGTCAATATTTAACATACTTGGACCCTAGGTCCTCTTTTGAACTGCCAGACACCTCTGAGGAACCACCAAGATTCTAGGAACACACCTGTGAACACTGTTGCCTAATGTTCTTATCGCTACCTGCTATGGTTTGAATGTTTGTGTCTCCTTCACAATTCATGTTGAACTTCCAGCCCAGTGTGATGGTATTAAGATGGAACCTTTAGGAAGTAAAGAAGTCATGAGGGTGAAACCCCCAGAAACGGACTGGCAGCCTTATGAAATGGTTGGAGATAATTAATTAGATCCTTTTTTGCCTTTGTGTCCCTTCTGCCACGTGAGGACACAATATTCGTCCCCTCTGGGAGACACAGCAACAAGGTTCCATCTTGGAAGCAGAGAACAGCCCTCACTGGACATGGAACCTTCCAGTCCCTTGATCTCAGACTTACAGCCTCCAGAACCGTAAGAAATAAATTTCTATTCTTCGTCAATTACCTGGTCTCAGGTATTTTGTTAAAGTAACACAAATGGACTAATACACTGCCTAACACTTTGGTAAGAATTGTGCTGAGTCAGATGCTCAGGTTGAATGGGGGTGGAGAGAAATGAGGAAAACCCTCAAAACAAATTCCTCATCCATTGTCAGTTAGTCCCCAGCAGGGTCTTATTATTAAACAGCTTTCTGTGCTTGATTCACAGATGTCTTCAGATTTCACAGTCTAAAGAAGCAGCCCGCCCTCTTGGCCTCCCTTACCACCCCATCTCTGGGTGCCTGTCTCATTTCCATTACAGTGCTTATCACTACCAGAAACTATCCCTCCAATTTTTTGGCTTGTTTATTATCTGTCTTCATTCTCTAGAATATAAAAACCCAAAGAAAACAAGGATCCTATCTGTCTTGTTCACTGGAATAGTTTGCATGAAATGTTACATAGTCATTGTCTACTCATTGACCATTGAACTTAAAAGATACGATATTCATGTATTAGAGTTGTTAGATGAAAGCTTCAGCTATGAATTCTGAAATTCAACAATCCCAGGGATTTATGTGCAATTGCTATCTACATTTTTCTCTCACAAATACTCCTTATTTTTCAAAAGCTACTCTTTGAGAAAGCCTGGTATCGCCTCCCCATGTGACACTGGCTGTTTGTCTGGCACACATATTTTGTGGTGTGTTATTAATATGCTTTTTCTTTTGTGCTCTGACTTTTTCACCAGTGGGTTCCCCTTAAGAGAGAGATTAAGCTTTATTCTCTACACATCCCCTGTACCCAGCAGTAGACATACTTTTCCACCCAATGGACAAACTTCAAGGCCCAAGTCTAACAAGGCTTTGAGCAACTGCTTGGTGTGAATTCTGTCATTTAGTCTTCTGTGTAATATAATTCCTCTGAGTTTCAAGAAAATATTTTTTAAAATATTCCCTTAAACACAGTATTATATATATTTCTATTTTGCTGCTCTGCTTCCTCAACTATCCATCTCTCAGATATTTTGAACTTCCACCATTGGAAGTTTGCCATTCTGGCCATCCTGGGCTGTGAAACAGCACGTGAGAAAGTGCTGGACTCGAATTCTCACACTCACAAGCATGGAGCTCCATTCAGCTCCACTGGGCTCCTGGCCTCCAGCACTAAAAAACAGCATATGCTAATTTCCAGGAGTATGCTTTTCTTTCCTGTCTCTTTTGCACTATGCCATCACACCAAGACTCTCAACTTTGCAAGTACCATGAATTATGGCCTCAGGGTTCAGTCGCTGCCAAGAAGAATAGGCACAACCACACACACACGGAAATCACTTCAGGGAGTCAGATATGTGTGGTTGACATCAGTGTTTGTCGGCTGCTGGCAGCTTTACAGGAGCTGTCTGAACCCAAAATAGAAGCAACTGTAGTGTAATGGTGGTGGTAGCAATAACAATATCAACAATCATAACAAAATGACAAAGTTAATGCAGCTACGCTCAGATGTAGACTCTGATGCTGCATGTATCTTTTCTCTGTGCACTCCCAACTCAAGGTCTTTGATTTCCTGAGAGTATTCTATTCTGTTAGACTCTTAGGGCAGCAGATGGGTGTCACATTGTGTTTTGGGTCCCGGTGGGGGAGAATGTGACTTCAGAACCGCTAACAGCAAGTGTGCCAACAATTAGCCAATACTGAGGCCTAGCTCTTCGCACACAGAAAACAGTCAACACAAATTATTGACAGGCGATGTATGAAGTCTAAAGATATTGCAGATGTTAATGGGTAGAATGTTCAAATATGATATGTTGATATGATGTGATTCCCCTTTAAATGTACTGGGAGAAGAAGAATCTAGTAAATGAATAGAGGAAGCGATCTGCCTCCTGGGAGTTATTGAAGATGTGGTAATAGGAATTGACTTTTGCTTCCCAATTCTGCCCTCCACCAAAACTGCAATGTCTGATTCTGAAACCTATAACAGACTAAAGTAAAGGCAGAGGGTGATCCACAGAACATTCCACTTAAATAGGCATTAATGAGGCAGTGACCGTGTTAGGACCTAAAATATGTCACTGAGTTCACACACAGAGAAGAACACACTATGGCACTTTCCCTCTAGAAGTTCATAATTTAGATCAGAGGTTGAAGACTTGTGCTGTTACAGAGCCAGGCAGCTATTATAAATGGGTGAAGCCACCTGATGTATAATAGGGACTGCTGGATACTGTGGCAAAGCAGAGAGCTCTTGTCTAAGAGAAGCCATCTGGATTCAGCTCTGGCTGGGTATTGCATGTGGTCATGTGGGCCCAGTGTTGACAGAGCTTCCAATTTTGCAAGAGAAGCTGCAGTCTCATGTGTGTACCCACTGAGCATTAGGAACACAGGAGGATCATAGATATAAGCTTTCAATTCCTCGTGTAAGCCTATGGTACCATTGAAATATTCATCTATATTCAATGAGTGCTCTTTCAAAATGAGTCTTCTTGGATACACTCAGGGAGAAGCAACTGATATTCTTTGAGGCAGGCATTCAAATTCAGGGCAGAAAGTTGTTCTTTATACTGAGCCACTCTTGATATTCTTAGGAAGTCACAGTGCTGGGCCAGGTTCTATTCACTGTAGCAGTTGAAGAACTCATCCTGTCTTCTTTGATGACATGAGACACTCATGTGCCCCACCAAATATCTTCTCCAATCTAAATGAAATCAGCTCCTTTAATTATTACATTTGTGACATGGGTTCAGGTCCTCTAATCAAGCTGATCATATTTTTCTGGATATATTTCAGAATTTTATTGTCCATCTCTAAATACGGTGCCAGAAGTAAACCCAGCTTGAACCCGGAACAGAAGGGAAATTTAATCTATCTGCCCTTTTGACAGATAGTTGCATCCCACTCTTGATCCCTAAAGAGCTTGCGATCCATTGAGACCCTGTTTCTCCCAGTCTCTTCTTGCATAGGGCTTAATAAAAGACTGAAATTACCCCCTTGAATGTGTTTCTCTTTGTTGTATTAATAAACCACTGTCGCAATTCTGCTGTTGTTAATGTGCTTGCAAAGTTTTGGTTTGGCCAAATGAATCACAAAAAAATATTATCCCTGGTGAAGAGGAGAAGACAGGCAGTGAGCAGAGCTGTCAGCCTTGCTGAAAGCGGTGCCTGGCCCCAGGGGAGGATTTGTAGGTGGAAAAACCAAAGTGTGATTAGGGAAAGGTGGGGGTGCCTCTGTGTTCTCTCTTGATTCAAGTGTTCTGTATGTTTATTTAGTTTGCCTTCTGGCTGTGTGAATTTTTGATGAGAATGTGCGCTAAGAATCTTGAAAGAAAATACATTTTCTAATAATATCATTCACATAATAATTGTGACAACCACTTATTTAACTCTCCTTATGAGTTAGACATTGTATGCAGTGTTCTGTCTATATAATCTCATTATACGTAAAATGCTATGTGTTTGGTACAATTATTCCCATTGTAAATGATAGAATACTGAGGCTAACAATAAATGAGTCTCAAGATTAAGTGACTTCCGTGAAGTCAGATCACTAGTAAAATGTACATATAGAAATTTAAACCCAGTATTGCTTGATTCAAGAACCTTTGGGATCTTAAATATTACACTATACAACCTAGATATGAACTGCAATGAGTTGTTACAAATTAAGATACCAGTTACGTTTAAGTATGGGACAATGTCTAGATAGAGAGCCAGACATAGTATTTGCTTTTAAGGACAAAGGGGCCTGTTTGGTCCAGTAGCAAGAATAGACACAGCTGTGTCAGATAAACCTGGGTTCAGTGCTTACTGGATCTGGAGTCTTGGCCAAGGGATATGCTAGATGATTTGCCTTTGTCCCTCTAGATCTACTCTCTGCCTTTCTATTCCTTGTTCTATGCCCAGGATGCTGAGTGGTAATTGACTGTGTCAGAAGGTTCCCTTCCCCTCAGGCTTCCAGTTGGTTGGGCCAATGGGTCGATGTACATCAGAGGTGGGAAGGAGAGTGATGTCAATATATTTTTTCCCTGGCTCTCTTTCTGCATAGTCACTGAGCATGACTCCCAAAAGCCACCACTGCTGTCCAACACCCCTCTCAATGCAGCTACTCCCAGTGGGTTGTGTAACCACTCTCTCCTGTGTCTTCAAGTATAGAGGTGGAAATAGCTGTCTGCTGTTGCTTGCACCAAGGTACTGTATCATGCTTTGTTGAGTTCTCCAACTTTGCCGCCTCCTTTGTAGTGAATCCTTTTATTACATTTTTCTTAGTTTGCAAGTTTGAATGTCCCTTCTGTTTCTCGCCTTGAATTTGAGCGATAGATATCACATAGGTTTGCATAACGTCAAAATAATAATGCCCTCACTGTGTATAGTATGAGGTTAAATAAGATAATGAATGAATCTGGCATGTTGCAACACTTAATGAATGGTAAATAGGATGATAATCATGGTGACTCCCCCTGGTTAAAACTCCTCTAGGATAGAAAGTCAACTCATTCTGGAATGTGGATCATAAAATGGTGGCCCACAGACCACGTATGTGCTTTGTAGGCTAACACACTCTTTAACGTATCAGCAAGTGTCATATAAAATCCAGATCCCGGCTGGGTGTGGTGGCTTAAGCCTGTAAACCGAGCACTTTGGGAGGCCGAGGCGGACAGATCACCTGAAGTCAGGAGTTCAAGACCAGCCTGAACAGTATGATGAAACCCCCGTCTCTACTAAAAATATAAATATTAGCCAGGCCTGGTGGCATACGCCTGTAATCCCAGCTACTTGGGAGGCTGAGGCAGGAGAATCGCTTGAATCTGAGAGGCAGAGCTTGCAGTGAGCTGAGGTCGCGCCATTGCACTCTAGCCTGGGCAACAAGAGCAAAACTCCGTCTCAAAAAATAAAAAAATAAAAAAATAAAAATCCAGATCCCAACTTCTCTTGCAAAATTTGAAGCTCTGTCAACACTGGGCCCGCAAGATCACTTGACAAGTCATGGTTGGAGCTGAATCCAGGTGGCCTCTTTTAGACAGGACAAGGGTTCTCTAGTTTTCCACAGTCCCCACTGGTCCCTATTATACATCAGCTACCATCACACATTTATAATACCTGCCTGATCCTTAAGCACTAGAAGTTTTTGACTCCTGTTTTAAAGTATGAACTTCCAGAGGGCAAGTAGCATAATGTATTCTTCTCTGTGCAAGACTAACACAGTAATATATTTTAGTTGAATAAACAACTTCACTTTCACTCCTTGGTCCCCAGACATTCCTACTGCTGCCACTTCCCACTCCTACTCTAACCATCTGCTGCTCTAACAACCGCAGAGTCCATTTGTCTGGGTGAGTGAGGGTGGAGAGAGAGAACAGACGGTCTTTGCAGAGGGAAGGAGACTGGGTCAGCAGTAAAGTGAGGCTGAGCATATAGTCTACAGGTGAAAGTGACGGGACATGGGAATACCGTCCCGGCACTGGAGAAATCATTTGTTTGTTTGTTTTTTGTTTTCTGTGATGTCTCCCTAATTGGATTAATAAGATGTGCCCTGATTCCCTATTCCTGTTGCTAAATATTCAGATCTGAATGCTCTCCAGGCTTTGAGTAGTTAAGGCTCTTAAAGCTGTGAGCACAGTCCTTTGGCTCTGCTGCCTAGAGTCTGTTACCTTCCCCTCTCCCGAGTCAGACAGCACCAGCCTCAGTTTGAGCCTCTGACGGCCCTGGCAGCATCCAAAGGCCTAGTTCCTGACCTGGTGGCTAAGGAGAGGTAATGACCCAACAGCTGCAGACTATGCTCACCCTTCTGCTGTGCTTTAAAAGAAATACAAACAACAACAAAAAAATTCAGGCCTGGCATTCTATTACCCGCCTTTTAATAAAGGTCTGGAAATGTC
This sequence comes from Homo sapiens, assembly GCF_000001405.40. Lineage (NCBI taxonomy): Eukaryota > Metazoa > Chordata > Mammalia > Primates > Hominidae > Homo > Homo sapiens. The sequence goes on from NC_000015.10 coordinate 91,553,333, forward strand.
AGCCTCAGTGATGATGCCAGCAGGTGCCTAGACTTCAAAGTGGGCACCTGTCACCAGAGAGATAATTGACTTTATTCAACCAGTTGTCTCCCCGTTGTAATCAAGCCATTTCGTTCAAATGGATTTTTCAAGCTGTTCTTTTGAGTAGGTGGGGGAGGCAGCGGTGCTGGTGGGTCTGGATCACAATTGCCCTGGAGAGGGTGAGAAGCAGAAGCAGCAGGCAGTGCTGTCAGCCTTGCTGAAAACGGTGGCTGGCCCAGGGGAGGATTTGTAGGTGGAAAAACCAGTGGGTGATTAGGAAAGGTGGGGGGTGCCTCTGTGGGCTCTTGATTCAAGTGTTCTGCATGTTTATTTAGTTTGCCTTCTGGCTGCAGATAGAAGGGCAGACACTCCCCAGTCTCCACATGGTTTTCAGCGGCAGGTGCCCTGTGGGGACAGGGGGCAGGGTAGACTTCTGTGCCCAAAGCATCTCTCTTCCACCTCTGGAAATCATAGTTCAATGTAAACTTCAAACAAGTGAACAGGGAGTGTGGTCCAGGATGGTTTAAGGGTCTCTGCTCTCCCAAAAGGGGTGAAATCCTTTTAGTCATAGTGTCTCTCCGGATTTGATAGATCTGATCATCTGTGGTGCAGAAGGCTGAGGACTTGAACCAAAGAGCCAATGAAGGAATTCAGTGGCCCTCAAATTCCTTCCAGTGTAGGTAGAACAAGCACTGGATTCTGATGGGCTCTGGGAGGGTGGGCATGTTGGGTTTCAGCTGTGTTTACTTACTGTGCTAAGGACACAGGAGCTGCCAAAAGGCTGATGTTAGATTTTACAGCATAAAGTCGAGTTGAGGGTTGTTTATGTGAGACTAAGTCCTGTTCACAAATGAGAAATCTTTTCTTATGTGGACGTACCTGTGTACAGTTCAGCTCAGCCACTTATTTACTGTTTGACTTTGAGCAGGTTACCTAGGCTCTCAGCCTCAGTTTTCTCAATGAAAAAAATGGGACAATAACGTTGTAAAATGAAGTGAAATAAAATGAAACCACATGGCTCCATGATTCAAATGCCTGATGCCTTTTGAGGTACTAATGGAATGAAGCTCTCTTCTCCCTAAAGGAATAGGGTGGGACAGACCCCCAATCCTAACTGTTCTGCTGGTTCCCACTCTGGTTTTGGGTCTTGCATGCACTAAGACACAAGGCCCTGAGCACCGTGAAGATCAGCACTCACCCCTTGAGTATCTCCATGCCCTCTGCCCGAGGGGACGTGACGTTAAATAGCAAGTTTTCCGTGATGTCACCAACATCAGGAATCTCTCCCAAGTCTAATCCAACAGTCTTTTTCGGTACCTCTCTTCTGGAACTTACCACTTTCTGCCATCTATAATTGTCATTTATATACTAAATGTCTTATTCCCACAGTGTTTGATTCCCCTGAGAAGACCATCCTTGGTGTGAAACACCAGTATAATGTTTTATACAGTGCAATAAATAATATATATGCATACACATATATGTTTATGTATAATTGTATGTATATGTGTATGTTTGCATGGCTGAATTTAAAAATCCACAGTCTATCATTTATTAACATTATTAAGTCCCTATGAATTAAATATGAGTATCAACAAGTAAATATATTGCTAAGTCTGGGCCTTTTATAGTATTTAAATATGCTTGGGGAGCCAACTAAGTCATCAATTACCATCAGGAATGAATGACTGACTTTTAGTGAAGAAAAATGTTAATAAAATAACCACTGGTGCTGACCAAGCCATAGAGAAGAGGACCTCAATTACTAGTTGAGTTACTAGTCGTTGTTGGGTGAAATGCAAGGAGTGAAAGGAGAATCTTTTATGCAAGAGAAGAAAATGGCATCAAAAGAAGCTGGTATTAGGACTTAAGTTAGTAACCTTGTACAGGTGTCCGACTGTGGGAAGAAGAAAAGACAGAGCAAAGTCGGGACATGTTGGGATGATTTCCATCCACTTAACCACCAAAGTGAGGGTGGCCAGGAAAAGAAACAGAACGGGGCCAACCCCAGTCAAAGATCTCAACCCATTACATTAAAGGGCACACTGGAGTCAAAGTCTCTACCACAGGGGCTCTGCACCGGCCCCTCCTGACTGCTACAACCATGGATCCTCACCCTATGGAAATGATGTAACCCTATGGAATGGCATGTGAAGACAGTCACATGCAAATGACACAAGCAGCTAAGGGAGCTGCACCCCATGTGGTCTAGTTAATGACATCATGTGGGAATGTCTGAGAGGAGTTTGAGAAACATTTGAACAGCAGCAAAGATTGATGTCACGAAGGGGATGAAAGTGGCATGGTAGGCGGAATGCTGATGTTCACTATGAAATGGCTGTTTTTGTTGGTAAAAAGAAAAATGGTGAAACATTGACAATTTTACAGGGCTTAGCCTAAAATGTATAAAGGTGAACTTGAGCCTCAACTCCAAAGAGTTTCTAGGGGCTGAATTCCAGGTCATATGAATTGTCAAATAGCAAGTGCTGTAGAAGTTTTAGCCATTTCTTAATTTTATTATTAAAGTCTTGTTTTTGTCACTGACTCTGGTGAGGGTATTGGAAATAATTATAAATTTGATTTAAGAGACCCCAGAAACCAGAGGCCTTGGAAGTGGCAGATACTCACCAGGGTTGTCTTGTGGTCTGTGCAGTCACATAGGGCTCCACTCTCAAGAAGGCCCCTGTTGGGGAATTAATGGACTGTGGGTGCCATCTTGAAATCCTTAACAATTTTATCATCGGATTTGTTTGTGTTTTGTAAGTGCAGTCCAATGGGACAAAGGAGCACGCCCCAGAGGCATGGTGGCCAAGTTCAGGAGCAGTCCTACCTCCAGCCTCCTCCCTGAAATGAGCCATTCTCTTCCCGTGGACTGCATCTGCCCTGAGGACAGGCTCAGGAAGGGATGGGCTCTGGTAGGTGTGCTGTGAGACCTAGGGTGAGGCCCGAGGCACCTCGGGTGGTGAACGCTCACCCCTCAAGTTTCTCTGTTTTCAAGGAGGTACAAAATTAAATAGCAAATAAAAAGTAGTATGAGAGGTTGAGAGAAAGATGAAAGAAAAAAGGAAACAAGCTTTACCCCTGCTTTTTGGACAAGAGACCTCACATTTTAATTTCGCACTGGGCCCTGCAAATTATGGAGACAGCTCTGGGGCTCAGCCTTTGGGTATCATGTCCAAAGGCTGAGAGCAATTCCTCACCAACTCCAGATGGTGAGCTCATGGACAGGGAAAAGTGGAGAATGGAAGTCATAATCTGCCCTCAGTTTTTGCCTTTCATGTTTATTATATTTCAAGTAGCAAATAATTACTTATCTTTTTTTAGGGACCGGCTAGTGCTCCATAGACATAGGAAAACCTGGAAACCACTTGGTGAATTAAGACTGAACATTTAGACTTGCGATTATGCCCTTGTAATCCTCTAGTCTTGCCTTGGTTTATGAATCTGCTAACTCAAGTAGTGGGAGAGGCTTCTAGAGGTAGATTTTCTGGTGTTGTGTTTTACGTTGAATATCAACCATTATAACACAATATTGTGCTGTGTATTAGATTATGACCTTCTTTTAACTTGCTTATCTTCCCCGCAAGCCTTCCGTGTGACAGGGAAGAATAATTGATGCTGTCTGTATTGCAGATACACACACACACACACAAACACATGCACACACATTACGGCACATACAGCATATATTATTTTGTTTATACTTTAATATGGGTAAGTAACAGTTGAAGTGCCCTAATCAGGAATATGCCCTGAAGGGGGAGTTAGTATTTTACTGAATTTAATGAGAAGCCAACGTTTTAGCGGAAGCTACTGCAAGCCTGCAACTATCTTTAGAACATTTCTGATTAGCATGAAAGACATAAAAGATAGTTTTTTATTGATAAAATGAGTGGTTTTGTAGACTGACTAGAAATAATTATGCAGAAACAACCTGCCTTCCATAATGGGCCACAAGAATCTAAGGTGCCCATCAGCCTGTAGCTGTTAGAGTGGTGCCTTAGGCCAAAGGACTCCATTATATTCTGTATCCAGTTCCACTTAGGAAAGAATCTCTCATTCTTTTTAGATCACAGTAATAAGTATATTTTACATCATGACCCAGTACACACACATACACACACATTCACACTGAAAGGAAAATTTTCCAGAGAATGTGCTTCTTACCTCACTTTATGTAATGCTATAGTCTATTCAGTTCTACTCTGTTTCGTTGTTATTTTTATTGCTGGTTGCAACCCACTAAATTCATTCGAGAACACACTAGAGAGATGCAAACTGCAGTTTGAAAAGCCCTGAGTGGGAGGGCTAGCTTAATCTTGCTGCCTGAATATTGTTGTATGTTCTGTGAGTGAGTTCTTGCAAGGTGCTGGTTGAAGCGCCTGACATGGCCAAAAATGGACGATTTATTGAGTTACAGGATTAATGGTGTATTAGTCTGTTTTCACACTGCTATTAAGAACTACCTAAGACTGGGTAATTTACAAATAAAAGAGCTTTAATTGACTCAGAGTTCTGCAGGCTTAAGAGGAAGCATGACTGGGAGGCCTCAGGACACTTACAATCATGGTAGAAGGTGAAGGGGAAGAAAGCACCTCTTACCATGGCAGAACAGGAGAGAGAGAAAGCAAAGGGACAAGTTTCACACATGTTTAAACCATCAGATCTTGTGAGAATTGACTCGCTGTCATGAGAACAGCAAGGGGGAAATCCGCCCCGATGATCCACTCACCTCCCACCAGGCCCCTCCTCCAATTCCACATGAGATTTTGGCAGGGCCATGAATCCAAACCATATCAAGTGGGACACATACTCTTGTGCTAGGGCGGTAATGAATGTTCATGCATGTGCCAGAATTTGGTTTGTTTGGGACTTGCTTCCATTGTAACTACTACCAGGTAGTAAAGAGTCGGGAGAGAAAACCTAAAGCTCTTTCCTGAGCCCAACTACTGGATGTTACCAATAACTGCAAAAATAATGTAATAATTATGACTAACCACACTGGTTTAAGTGAATTTACAAACAATACATTTTTCTTCTTCTTCTTCTTCTTTTGTTTTTGTTTTTTTTTTTGAGACAGAGACTTGCTCTGTCACCCACACTGGAGTGCAGTGGTATGATCTTGGCTCACTGCAACCTCTGCTTCCCAGGTTCAAGCAATTCTCCTGCCTCAGCCTCCAGAGTAGCTAGGACTACAGGCATGCAGCACCACACCCAGCTAATTTTTGTATTTTTAGTAGAGACGGGGTTTCACCATGTTGGCCAGGATTGTCTCCATCTCTTGACCTCATGATCCACCCGCCTCGGCCTCCCAAAGTGCTGGGATTACAGGCGTGAGCCACTGTGCCTGGCCAGCAGTGCATTTTTCAAATGAAATACCATTAGGCATTTTAGTGGGTTGAATGATCACAACCGAAAAAAATAGGTAATTTTTTTTAATGTGATCTTATTTCATGAATGTGATCTTATTTGGTAAAAGGAACTTTGCAGATATAATTAAGGATCATGAGATGAGATCACCTGAATTTCTGGCTGTAGGCAGGGGAGCCTAAATCTAATCCTGTGTCCTTATAAGAGAAAGACAGAGGAAAATTTGAGAAGGGGGAGAAAGGAGTGAAGATGGAGGCAGAGACTGGAGTTACACAGCCACAAGCCGAAGAACACCCAAAGGCCCCAGAAGTTGGGAGAGGCAAAGAATGGATTCTCCCCTGAAGACTTCAGAAGGAACATGGCCCTACTGACACCTTGATTTCAGACTTCTGGCCTCCAGAACTGTGAGAGTAAAGGCCTATGGTTTTAAGCCACCAAGTTTGTGGTCACTTGTTATAGCAGTCCTAGGAAACTAATATAGGCGTTAAGTGAACAAAGACCACAGAACTCTCTTTGATAACCCTGCCAGTCACGCGGTCCCAACCAGTATGATCTCATCCCAAACAAAGGACCAAAGATCTATTATGTATTTTGTTTTGCCAGCTTATTCAGAGTTGGCTTTCAGGAAAGAACTACATCTTGTTTGATTGAAAATATTTTGAAACATCATTCACCATCTCTGATGGTATTTATGGCTCAACATTCTTTATAGCAACAAGATGAATACTAAATTAGAAGCTTATTTCAGAATTGTGGTGGGCCTGCCTTCCACACACTGACAGGGAGAACTAACTTCTTCAAGGAAGAATAAACAGAGGGAGATAGCCAAGGGATCCATTCTAAGAGATTTTATTTCCTTAAGCAAAGGTGGCCCTGGCTTGGACATCGCAGGAAGATTGAAGTGCCATCCTTGTGCCAATAAGAAAAAAGAGGCAGCCCACATACGTCGGGGTTTTGGGTTTGAGGTATGGTCCTATGATAAGACAGGTAATATCCTCTTATAAATAGCATAAAAGGGAAAAAAAGGAGAAAAGGAGAAAACCACAACATGGAAACTTCACATTTACTTTAGGAAGTCAGAGTAAATCCAAAGATCAGAGAACCTGGCATAGATCTTGTTAACATTTTGAAATCAGTTTGTCTCCAGTAATAGTCCTAAAGTGTAAGTATTTTTAAAAAAATTCTTCTGAGGCAATTGCTTCCCTCCCACAAACCACTTAGCAGTACAAGCTTCTTGGTTTTAACTTCAAACATAATGTGACAAAAATGTATATTTCAAGGACAAATTATGATGGAAAAATAGATCATTGTATTTATCTTCTACAGGTATGATGAGAGGATTATTTGATCATTTCTACTGAATCATTAAATCAGAAAGATTGCAAAACATTCTGTGAATTATACATGCAAATTGCCTTTAATAACACCAACATTCAGTTGCCTCTGGAATCTAATAAAGAAAATGTTTTTGGTCCACCCAGCAGCATTTATGTAACAGGGCCAACATGAGACATAACAGTGACATTTGAAACGAGCTTCAAATGACATGAAAGCCATTATAATATGACAGTATTATGATGATCTTATTAATTGCCGTGGACATCGTTAGGTACTTTGTTTATTAGACAATTCCAATTGTCTAATATTTAACATTTTAACCTTTCCAATTCTTCCCCTAAATTTTTAAAAACTATTTTAACATGCTAATTTATTTTTTGGGTTTAAGATGGATCTGAGCTAACATTATCTCATTTTAGGAAGCCAGGTAGAAAAATCAACTTTCCCCATCACAAGGATTTATACAATTCCTGGGGATGGACTCAGGCTGGACTGGCTTGGATCACATGACCATATCAGGATCAATCACTGAGGCAGCTGGCGGGGTGGATCCTCTCTCTAACTGGGAGCCCTTCTCTGGTCCTCATGTTTCAAAGGAAAAGACCCATCTCCAAAGAAAAAGGTGGCCATGCTATTAGCAGAAAGGACTAAGGGAAGGAGCTATTCAGAAAAACACAGGTGCGTGCACACACACTCAGACATATACACAGATGTACTTAGACAGACTGAAAAGATACTGGAAGAAAGTATAGTGATGTTGTAATCCCAGCACTTTGGGAGGACCATGATGTCAGGAGATCGAGACCATCCTGGCTAACACGGTGAAACCCCGCCTCTACTAAAAAATACATAAAATTAGCTGGGCATGGTGGCATGTGCCTGTAGTCCCAGCTGTTTGGGAGGCTGAGGCAGGAGAATTGCTTAAACCCGGGAGGCAGAGGTTACAGTGAGCCGAGATTGCGCCATTGCACTCCAGCCTGGGTGACAGAGTGAGACTCCATCTAAAAAAAAAAAAAACAAAACAAAAAAGTATAGTGATGAATGTGTTAGCCACAGTTCTGGATTATGGAATTACTGGGGATATATAATCACATGTTGTTTACTGTACTTGTCCCAGTATTAAGCACTTTGCCTTTTTATACACAGAAGTGATAAGACTTCACTAACACTAGTTTGTTATTGTAAATAAAAGGGGGATTGAAAGCTTTGGCAGAGGTAGAAGAGTTCCAGGCAGTAAGAGAATCGTGGGTGCTCTGTGATCCTCAGAGAAGACTTCTGGCAGGTCAGAAACAGATTGCTTTAATGGCGTAAATGAATGGTCACTCAGCGATGGGGAATAGCAGCTCCTGGAAAGGGCTACAAGGTGCTGCCAAACCGCTGCCCCTTCTTGTTTCACCTCCAGTTTATTCTAAGCAGGGGCACGTGTTTTTCTCTTTTGGTCTTGCTATTCTCAGTCTTGGATTACACATCTCTTCTGACTCATTCATCCATTCAAGCTCAGTTGAGAAAGGTTTTAAACCTCTTCCTCTGACAAAGAATCCTTTATTTAAATATGCCTCCTACCCACGAGAAACAAAGCAGGATTCAGTTACCAAGTATTCCAAAAGCCATTGTTTTCTAAGCGTTTGTCATGTGCGCACATTATTTTATTTCATTTAATAAATTCTGGGTTGCCATTCCAAATTTCAGATGAGGAAATGAAGACATGGAAAAGTTGTGTAACTTGTGGAAAATCATACGGCTTGAAATGACCTAACTGGGATTTGAACGGAAGTTGGTTCCAAGCCCATGACCTCGAAAAGGGAGGGCCTAATACTGCCACATCATAGCTATGTTGTTTTCAGCAAGTCATCTCCACCTGAGTCATAATTTTCTCGACTGTAAAGTCAGAATATTTATACATCCCACCAGCCTGTTGCACTGGCTCTTGGCAAGTTCTATAAGATGACACACAGAAAGGAACTCTGTTCATAATGGATCATGCCTGCACACGTGTGATATTTTGTCCACAGACTGAGCCTCTAGGAGACTGCCTACAGAGTTTGGAGGCACATCCAGTAAAGCTGGAATGCTAGGAAATTCAGGGGGTTGCACAATAGGAGGAAGGGGTAAAATGATGATACTAATAGACTGAGTCTGCAGGTGTGGGTTGGTAAGATGCTAGGCAGAGTCTGGGCAAGGTCAGGTGACCAACTGTCCTGACCTGGCCCAGGACTTGGGGATTTCTAGGGAAGTAGGAATTTCTGTGCTAAAACTGGGAAAGTCCTGAGCAAGCCAAGATGAATTCACTTGGGGAGCTTTGAGGACCAGGCAGCTCGATAGTGACACCATCCATATCTCATAGGTGCCAGCCCCTTCTTTGGCCCTTTTGGAAGAGCAGAGAAAAGCGTGCATTTCCAGAAATAATGAGAGATCAAGGAACCACACTCAGAGAGAACTGTAGTGATTCTCCCCCAAACTCATAGCACCCTGAAAGTGGACTCTTCAGAAGTTTCCTCAGGTCACAAGCCCGTGGCCATCCATTTGGGACATAACACTCAGTCTTTTCCAGGGAGGAGGGGAGGGCTCAGTTGGGAGTCAGAAGCCAAGAGAGCAGGCATTTCGAAGTTTGCACACAGCCTTGCATTTGAATGCTGTCCCTCTGCTAATTCACACTTTCCTTAAAATGCACGCTTTTCCATAGGGTTCCTATGCCTTCCTGACTAGTGAGTTCTTGAGCTCTCCCGTCTTTCTTGTGTGGTAATGTTCAGGCAGGACTGAATACCCAGAGTGGACCTGGTGCAGAAAAAGCTGTGACTCCTACCCCAGCCCACAGTATTCCTATTTAGAAAATTCTGCAATCTTATTTTGACACTCCCCAGCTCTCCATGTGAGAGCCAAATTGCCTGGGTTCACATCCTGCTGTTACAAGTTCTTGCCAACTGTGTCCCAGTAAGCAAGTTACTTCATCCTCCTTCCCTATTTTTCTCATTAGTAAAATCAGGGTGATAATTATGATACCTAATATAATTGGTAGTGTGAGGATTAAATAAATTAATACATGCAACGTGCTTAGAACAATGTCTGGAAGCTAGTAAGTACTCAGTAAGTATTAGTGTTTATCAGTTTTTTACCTACCTACTCATTGCACTAGGGTGGTATTCTACCACTTTAAAAAACGAGATTTAAAGGTTCCCTTCCTTAGTTTAGTAGAAGGAGCATAAAGTTTTGGAGGTGTGTGGTTTTTCTCCAACATTGTGTAACTCCTGTAAGTTTCAGTTTCCTGGTCTGCTAAATTGGGCTAAGAGTCCTCTGAGGAGGATTCAACGAGATAATACACGGCCATTCCCTCCTTAGGGCCCCATATTGCTTACACTCTATCTACACTAGAGCATTGAGTATCCTATGTTATGTTTGTCACTAGACTGTGAGCCTCTTGAGAGAAAGGGTTGTATCTTTTTTATCTTCCCATTTCCAGAGCTTTACTCTGCCTGGCATGAAGGGAGAATCAAATCAATGCATGTCTGCTGAAGTGACGGCACCTAGTACAATACCTAGCTCGTATTAGAGGATCAATGAACTATGGTTTTCCTCCTAAGGTTATAAAGCCAGTCAGTAGCATAAGAGGGCTAATCTTGACATTCTGTTCCTTAAACCGATTAGTAAAGTTACCTTACAAGGAAGATTATTGAGGAAGTGATTATAGAATGCCTTTAGTTCATGAGCAAAAATAGCACTTAAATAGAGGTTCCATTAGACAGTTGATCTACCTTTCTATTTTCCAAATTGGGCTTTCTGTAAAACATCCATTGTATTTCCTTCAGTTTTCAGTTTCAGTACATTTTAGACGAAGTGGAAACCCTCAGGACGCAGTCATCAATAATTCTCAGTAAGAATTCTGGCTCCTCCGTAATTGAATTGCCCTCTCCTGCTAATTTGTGTGCATCCATACAATATATCCCTTTCTTCCAACTAAAAACATCACTCATTGACATTGCTGAAAATTCAGAACCAAGATGGAGAAGTGAAAAGGGCCCAGGGGATAGAAGAAATTAAATTGGATGTTTCCTCAGAGTTAAGGTATTTTTTCTTCCTTTACATCTTGGTAAGTAGTCACTTTTGTGGTGATAGCAGTGGTACGATGGGAGCATATATGATGGGTAACATTTTATATTCGTATATGTCACTGATACAGTTTGAAAACAATTTTAAGATGCATGAACAGTATTTTTTCTCATCAGAAGTTTTTGGTCTAAAGCTATTCTTCTCAGAAAAAACTGACTTTCTAACAGCAACTTCTTATACAGAATAACCCTTGGCTTCGTACCGTGTATTCCATTGGTGTAGAATTAGAAAAAATTGAGTCTACTAGAATATAGTTCTGTTACTGCAACCTACACTTATAAGCCCTCAGATCTTCTTATACAATTTCAGAAACTCAAACACTCCAGTCCAAAATAATGAGATGACGGGCCACATTCAAAACTTGAAATGGAATATGTGAGGAAGTGAAAACATTTTTTCCAAAAAAATTTAAACAGTAAAATAGGGTGTGCCTTTGATTTAAATTCTGAATGTTTGAAAATGTAAGCAATTGATTCTTATCAGCCTCCTTCATACAATACTTTGTTTATTTTTCCATCTTGACTGTCTCAGTTATTCTGTTTCCCATTTAATGAAGACAGATTTTGTAATTCTTGTTTCATTAATGTTGGCCTCTCGAGTCTGATTTAGCCAGAATAGCTGTGATCATATGCAGAATTTAATAGGGAAGGGAAATAGCTAATTACATATGTTATCAAAGGAAGCCAGGAAGTGCCTGGAGAGAAGATACATCCGTAAATCTCAGAGTCACACATCATAGCACAGAGTATGGAGCCTGTGAGAAAGAACTAACTGTGTGGCTGATGTCAAGGTTTCATCCAAGCTAGAAAATCTTGCATAGAAAGCACCCAAACTTGTACTTGCCTTGTTCCCTTCTGGGCTCCCGAATTGTTATAGGGCTTTTGAAAAAAATTAATGATACAAATCCTGCATCCCAAATAGGATGACTGTATAATCACAGAACCAGCAGGAACTCTTAGCAGTTCCCATGATGTGGACCAAAAGCAGGACCAACTCCAGGCAGGCATTCTATGGGAAGTACACAATGACATCTCACACTGCCTCTCCCTCTACTGTGCCCCTGCTCTCCCTCCACCATCCCATTACAGTTTTCTCTCATCTCCTCCTTTTGCATTCAAGTGTAGATCCACGTACTGGATACCAGGCAACCTTGGGCATCTACACCAATGACTTCATTTCACTAAGAAAAAATGAGGTCAGAGTTTATGAGTTTGGAACAGAACCTACTACTCATAAGTGTCAGAACTCCATTTGTTGAATTTTTCTTTCTAACCAGTGTCAATGGTTTTTATTATTTTATTTTTTGAAATGGAGTTTCACTCTGTTACCCAGGCTGGAATGCAGTGGCGCGATCTCAGCTCACTGCAATCTCCGCATCCTGGGTTCAAGCAATTCTCCTGCCTCAGCCTCCCGAGTAGCTGGGACTACAGGCACAAACCACCATGCTTGGCTAATTCTTAAATTTTTAATGGAGATGGTGTTTCACCATGTCGGCCAGGCTGGTCTCGAACTCCTGACTTCATGATCTGCCCACCTCGCCCTCCCAAAATGCTGGGATTACAGGCATGAGCCACCCTGCCTGGCCATGTCAATGGTTTTTAAAGTTATTATAATGTTCAACATTAACCAAAACATGTTTTAGGAGTCCAGAATCAGTTAATAGTCATTTCACACCGAAGATGAATTGATGCTAATAGGAAGAGGGGCATGACCTCAGAAGTAACTACAATATGAGGCTACTGCTGCAGAGAAGAGGCAACAGGTCTGCCCTCTCACTTGCAGCAGATGTGACTCCCTGCATCTCTGTTTCCAGCTGCTTTACACTCCTGCAAAAATAAGCCAGGAGAAGACAGTGGTTGCTACAGCACCTTCAGTAGAATAAATTTTTTAGAAAGATCCAGTTGCACTTTCTTTACTGTCACAACAGCCTTATGAAATTCACAGCTGTCATATATTCCAGGACTATGATATTTTTCATTTATTCCATTATTTGTAAGTTTACCAGGTGGTAGAGCCAAGGTGGTGGGGTAAAGTAATGGAGTGGTGAGTTCTATCCTGAGGCCAAGGTTGTTGGCAATCTCCCTGAACTTCTCTCTATCCGACAGCTGCTTAAGGGTTACCATTCCCATTTCCGGTGGTTGAAATTGTACCATAAGCTTAACTCATCAAGCTTAAGAATCAAATGGCACTTATTGTGATGCAGTGAATGGTTATGGAGATAAGAAACCACAAAAGACACTCAACCACTCCATTTGCGAATTGAACTTGTCCTTCTGTAAAGCTCACTTCTGGGGTCACATGAACTGGAAGATTCAAATTTGGAGTTGCACCGTGGCATCATCATATACTAGCTGGGAACTAGCAGTTCAAGTAACTCCTTGGCATCTTTATTTCCTTATTTGTAAAATATTGATAGTAATAGATTAAATTAGAGTATCCAACACATAATAAATGCTCAATAAATGTCAACTATCAAATGTGCAAGATGGGAATAATAATACTTACTGCCATGGTTGAGGTGGATAATTCTACCTGATGTAACAAAACACCATTAAGTCTCAGTGGCTTAACACAAGGAAAGTGTATTTCTCATCTTATATTTCAGTATAAATTGTGGGGGAGGGACTCAGTTCCATATGGTGATTTGAGGGTCCAGAGACCTCCCGTTGTGTATTTCCACCACCTTCTAGAACCGTATCATTCCCTGAACTCAGCCCATAGATGGGGAAAGGTGGCTGGAAAGAGAGAGAATGTAAAGAAAGGACACGAGTCTCACCACCTTAGTTCAGAGGTGACACATCACTCCTGGGTCTGTTCCATTGTTGAGACCTCGTTGTATGGCCACACCTAGAAGCAAGGGAGCTGGAAAAGTTGTCCAGTTCCATGCCCAGATGTGAAAACACAGATTCTGGAAGGCTCTTGCAGCCTCAGCCACATCTATCTTGAAGGACTGAACTGACAAGTAGATTAGATACTGCTTGTTAAACGGCCAGGTGGGAGCCAATCGCAGCAGCAGCCTTTATAAATGTAGCTATTGTTACCATTAATCTCAAATCACTGAGTCAAGATGGTGAGATCTTTTACAACACATTTAGAAAGGAAAGAAAAGTCCGGAGCTACTGTTCAAGTTTGTCTTGATTCTAAAGCCTTCATAGACCTGAAGGTTAGGCAGGCCTTCTGTTCCATTTTGCAATGGGCATCTAGATAAGTGACCCAGCAAAACAGTGCCAAAGCACTTCAGAGCTGCTGGACTCTTAGAGAAAACAAAGAAAAATATAATACTGATATGTTTGTTGTAAGCTCTAAGGCAGTTCCAAATATTGTCTTTTTTTGTATTATCAAATATGTTATTGTGGACCTTCTGCTTTCTGGCTATGAGGTCTTGCCAAGTTATTTGAATTCCGTAAATCTTCATTTTTCTAATTGTAAAATGAGGACAATACTTGTTCTGTCTCAGAGGGTAGTGCTAGATATAGGGTGTTGCCACCTTCTTCCTCCTGTTCCTCTTCCTCCTCTTCTTTCTATTCTTAACATGGTTATTATTCCTATTATCATCTATGCATCAACTCTAGTGCACAGATTATATATGCATTCTAATTATCTCCTTGACTTTCTCCTGGGCCAAGGGCAGCCACCTGATGTGGCTGGAAAAGCATGAACCTGGAGTCAGGGAAGGCTGGATTCAACAATGACTCTGGCACTTGCTAACTAGGTGTGACTCCTCAAGCAACTCATTCAACTTCTTTGTGTGTGTTTCCTCATCTCGAAATAAGGTAAGAATTCCTAACAGTAAAGGGTTTGAAGACGTATGGTAAATCATTCTTTGTTCTGCTTGGCATAAAATGAAAGCTAATTTCCTTGTCCCTCATGCAGATTTTCATGGGTCCTAAGAATTTAGGAAATGGTTGCACCCTGGCACCTTGGAATAATTGAGATACAATGCAGATAAATAGATTACATGTTTTGATGAAAGGTTTTTGATGCTGTAGGGTTCATTGTTGTTTTGATTTCTTGGTGCAATAATATATCTTTTGTTGCAGTTGAGTCCAAAGCTCATACCTCTTGTCACGTGACAATCAATAATTGAAGCAACAAAGTATCAGGCCAAGGAAGGTGACTTTATTGCAGAGAACCAGCACAACCACCTTTCTCAACATGTTATTCACTGATTTTAACAAATTATAGCCATCCTAGTAGGTGTGAAGTTTTATCGCATTGCAGTTTGGATTTGCATTTCTCTAATGACTAATGATGTTGAACATTTTTTTCATATGCATATTGGCTGCTTGTATATCTTCTTTAAAAATATCTATTTGCGTACTTTGCTCATTTTTGGATTGATACTTGTTGGGCAGAAACTGATTTAAAATAAACGTTCAATTCATGGTAACTAGTTCTAAATTAACCTTACCATTTCTTCAAACTTATTTAATTTTGTTTGTTGATCTGTCTGATTTAGAGAGAGATGTTTAAATATTTCCCACCTTAATTACAGCTTTGTAGAATTCCTGATTGCTAATAGTTTTGCTTCACATGTTTTGATGCAAGGTTTTTGATGCTTCGGGGTTCATTGTTGTTCATTGACTTCTTGGTGTACTAATGGTTCCTTCATCGTAGTTGAGTCCAACGCCTGAACTGCTCACCACATGACAGCCAATAAGTCAAGAGACAAGGTGTTGGGGCAAGGACATTGACTTTATTTCGGAGAACCAGCAAACTGAGAAGATGGTGGACTCATGTCCTAAAGAACCATCCATCTTAACCATCTTAAGTTAATAGAATTTTAGACTCCTTTTATGTTAGGGGAGAGGGAAAAGGGAAAGACTTGGGATCAAGAGGTGACCAATGATTGCAGACATCAAGAGGTGACCAATGATTGCAGTGGCAGGTGTCGAAGGGAGGCTTGTGAAGCTTCTTTGCCCTTGGTCAGGTACATCTTTCCTTGTATGTACATGCTCCTTATTTCTTCAAGAGTTACTTTTGGGAAGAGACTATTATCATTCTTGCTTTAATGCTAAACTGTAAACTAAATTCCTCCCATAGTTAGCTCAGCCTACATGCAGAGATAAGCAAAAGCAGTTAACCTAAAATGTGTAACCTAAAATGTATCACTGCAGAGAGTTTAGAAGCAAAATAGAGCTTGTCAAGCTAGGCATGCTTTTCACTGCTCCATTATCAATATAAAGTGTTCCTCTTTGCCTTTTAAATCTGTTTTGCTTGAATTTTACTTTGCCTAATGAGTTCCTCTGCTTTTAAAATTTTGTTTATGTTTGTTTGGTATTTTTTAACAAACCTCTTTACTTTCAAGCTTTGTGTCATTTACTGCATGTATATCTCCATAAACAGCTTATAGCAGGATTTAAATTTTTACCCATTCTAAAAGAACTTGTTTTTTAACCTCTCTCGTCACTCTTGATGTATTTGGTGTTATTTTTGCCATCTCTTAATGTTTTCTTTCTGAGATCTTATGTTTCTTCCTTTTTTCTACTTCTTGACTTTCCTAAATGCTCAAAATCTTTTTTAGTTTTAGTTTTTGTCTCTTTTGTGGTTTTTAAGGTATACATCCTAATTCTTTTTATTTTACTGCTGGTTGCCCTGCATTTTTTACAAGCATAAGTTGAGGAACAGGTTGGGGGGTGATGATTTCTATTTTGGGAGGAGTTAAAGATGGTGTTACCTTATCGACATGAAGATGCCTTGTCTCTGTCACCTCTAGGTCTTTACCCCAGTCTGGGATCTTGGACACATCTGAATCAATACCTAACCATCCTTCAGCCTCAGAGTAAATATTCCTTCCTCAGGAAGGCTTTCCCATGTCAGCACCTCAGCAAAGTGCCCGCCACGTGCTCCCAGAGTGCTCTCTCTCTCAGCCTGTCACTGCAGTGCTCACCCTGCTTTGTAACCAACCTTTCCTTGTCTGTCCCCATTGGAGGCTGATGCTACGTCTTGCTCCCTGGTCTATCCCAACATCTTGCTAGGTCTGATGTAAGACCCAGGAATCTGCATTTTAAATCTGTCCTCTGTGTAATACTGACAGGAAACACTTTCTAGGGCTGGAGTCATTAGCAAGGTGAATTTAGTAGAGAGAGCTGGGGTTTAACCCTTAGGCAATGTTTCTATATCTCAGGGGGAGAACAGTTGCATTGAAGGGATTTTATCCAGGCTGATACCAGGTTGATCATGTCCTGAGGAGTCTTGCCCATGTTTCTGGTCCATTTGTAAACAATTGCTGGAGGTCAATTAGGAAACAGCTCCCAGGGCTGTCTGAGCCTTGGGCAACACGAAGAAGGTGAGGAAGAAGGTCAGCTGTGGGTTGCTGGGGCTGTTCAGTGCTGTGTCCCATGTTCAGTGAATGCATTTGATATGGTTAGACGTGTTTCTCCTCCAAATATCATGTTGAAACGTGATCCCCAATGTTGTAGGTGGGGCCTGGTAGGAGGTGTTTGGGTCATGGAGGTGGGCATTCTCCCCCACGAATTGCTTGGCGCCCTCCACATTGTAAAGTGTTCACAAAGATCTTGTTGTTTAAAAAGCCTAGTACTTCTTGCCCGCTCTCTTGTTACCACTCTCACCATATGGTACACTAGCCCCTCACTAGCCTTTCACCATGATTATAAGCTTCCTGAGGTCTCCCCAGGAGCAGATGCTGGCATCATGCTTCTCATATTGCCTGCAGAACTGTGAGCCAAAATAAACCTCTTTTATTTATAAATCACCCAGCCTTAGCCATTCCTTTATAGTAATGCAAATGGACTAACAGCATCTAAGCTTCCAAAAGGCACATCAGGGGACAGACATCATGTTGCCTTTTATCTCAGAGTCGGTAATCTCTGATATGGATGAAGTGTATATATGTGCCTTAGTCCTTATAACCTTAGTCAACACTTGCACTGACAGGTAGGTCAGGATTGCTGGGGGCCAACTGTGGGGGAATCTGGAACCTGTTTCCTCAAGGTGTGCATTGTTTGTATTTGCCTGAGAAAGTGTCACTTCCAGTTACAAGTAACTGCAGTGAAAAGGATAGCGTGCAGCCAGGATAATTGAAATCTGCATTGCCTATGGCTTATTTCTCACATTAGTTCTTACTCCTATAGATTTAGTGCCATTGGGACTATGTTTAGGCAGGTGGGATGCAGAAGAAGATGGGGATTCAGGAGGAGCTAGGGCAGTGAACAAGAGGCAGTGGTGAGAGGGACACTGGGACCTGCTGTGTCCATCTGGTGTCTCATTAAGACAGCTCACCTGCATTGATATGTCACAGAAGTCCATGTTACACCAAAAGACTTTACTTCTTTGCCTGGTTTGAAAGCCTGTCATTATGAATGTGTTCTCTTTTTAAAATGTGATGAAAATAGTTAATTGATTCCCAATGCTAGAAATTGTGGTATTTACATTCAAGACTATCACGTGGTTTTTTGTTTGTTTGTTTTTTGAGACAATCTCGCTCTGTTGCCCAGGCTGGAGTGCAGTGGTGTGATCTTGGCTCACTGCAACCTCTGCCTCCCAGGTTCAAGCAATTTTCCTGCCTCAGCCTCTTGAGTAGCTGGGATTACAGGCACGCGCCATCATGCCTGGCTAATTTTCTTTCTTTTTTTTTTTTTGTATTTTTCGTACAGTTGGGGTTTCACCATGCTGGCCAGGCTGGTCTGGAACTCCTGACCTCATGATCTGCCCACCTCAGCCTCCCAGAGTGCTAGGATTACAGGCGTGAGTCACTGTGCCTGGCCCCACCTGTTTTTAATATTGGGTTTGGAGCTTGTTGGGTATAATTAGATACCTGTGTGGTGCGGGACTTTTGTGTTTGCTTTTACTTCAAAACCCTAGAATCAGATTATTTCATCCCTTTTAGGGAAACTTACTTGTCACAAGGAATACATGTTTGAGACACGCCCTCTTCACCTTGTTGGTGAGAGGGGATTTTCATCCCAGGGTTGTGAGGATGGCAGAACACATGACACCCCACACCCCACCGATGAGACACACAGCAGGTAATTAGTCAGGTAGACTCAGCCTGGGAGAGAAGAGCACACACACACCACGCAGAGTCACACAGGGAGTCACTCAGGAGCAGAGGGAATAAGAGGCTGGAGGAGGCAGGGTTTGTAGTATCAAGAGGGTAGAGTGACCTCCAGTTCCCAAGGGAGGATGAGATCGGCTTGTTTGCACATTCTGTGGGCTGGCAGAGAACCAAAACCTGCTACTAAAGGATCAGCAGGAACTGCGCCTGGTTCCTTTGTTAAGGAGGTTTGTTTGGCTGGAAGACCTTATCCATGGGAACAGAGTAGGGAGAGGAACTTGCTATTAGGCCATTCAAGGCCCTCTCAATTTTACCGGATGTCAAGGCAGCACACAATATGGAGCCTGAATTTCGGGCCTTACACTGCAATATACCATCATTATGCAACTTTGGGAAATACCATTCCTATCTTATTCTACAGAATAGCACCCAGTTACTCCTCGGATCCTGATTACAGGATATAAAGTGTAGTTAACTATGGCATTCATAGATGGGATTAACCTGCTAATCTTTTGTCTTTTTAATGTTACTCTATTGCTTAAGCATTGATTCCAGAGGAAGAAGGACCAGACACTCTTTGTTGTTTGAACTTACTTGGAAATTCATGAGAGTCAGTACTACACTGACTCTAAGTTGGTCAGTGTGGTCTCCAGGCCAGCAACATCAGCATTACCTGGGATCCTATTAGAAATCCCAATTCTTGGGCTCCCTGCTAGAAATACCACACCTGGATCTTAAGAAAAGGTCCAGGAATTTGTTTTAACAGGACCTCCCAGCGATT
This sequence comes from Homo sapiens, assembly GCF_000001405.40. Lineage (NCBI taxonomy): Eukaryota > Metazoa > Chordata > Mammalia > Primates > Hominidae > Homo > Homo sapiens. The sequence continues at coordinate 91,572,964 of NC_000015.10, forward strand.
CTCATACTAAAGTTTGGGAAGAACCACTTTGGTGGGACTCGTGACAGTTACTCTCAATCTAAGTTATGCAGCAGGGAGAGCAGAGTAAGGAGACAAAACATAAATAAAGGCCAAAGAGGCCGGGCGTGGTGGCTCACGCCTGTAACCCCAGCACTTTGGGAGGCCAAGGTGGGTGGATTACTTGAAGTCAGGCATTCAAAACCAGCCTAGCCAACATGGGGAAACCCCATCTCTACTAAAAATACAAAAATTAGCCAGGCATGGTGGTGTGTTCCTGTAGTCTCAGCTACTTGGGAGGCTGAGGCAGGAGAATCGCTTGAACCTGGGAGGCAGAGGTTGCAGTGAGCTGAGAACGCGCCAGTGCACTCCAGCCTGGGTGACGGAGTGAGACTCTGTCTCGAGAAAGAAGGAAGGAAAGAAGGAAAGAAAGAAGGAAAGGAAGGAAGGAAGGAAAAGGAGGGAGGAAGGAAGGAAGAGAAAGAAGGAGGGAGGAAGGGAGGAAGGAAGGGGAAGAAAGAGAGAAAGAAAAGAGAGAGAGAGAAAGAAAGAAAGAGGTCAAAGAGTTCTGCATTTCCCTGACTTCATTCTCTAGTAGATCCTAAGCCCTTTTCTTTAAATAAAGCCCTTCATCTGCCCTAGAAAGGATAAAGATGAAAGAAAACTCTGTTGGCAGTATGGTTGATATTGCAGAGCAGTGGGAAAAGTAGTGAAGCTAATTTTGAGGAAAAACGCTTTTCATAAAAGAAGGAAAAACATGCAGGCCAAACTGATGACACTAGACCAGGTGGAGAGAGATAAAGTCAGTACAATACAAGAAAGGCAGGTTTGACTTAAGATGGCGAATGAAACCTGCTGATCAGGTAAAGTTGAGGATATTGGACCTTGTGCAGTGACGGAGAATGTCACCACAATACTCCTAGTGGTGTCTCAAACAGGAGAAATTACGGGAGAATACTTACAGAAGTTTAGAGCCTGGGCTGAACAGTTTTAAGGAAGATCTGCAAGATGAGGAACTGGTTGGGACTGGGCATAGCTTAGGGCTTAACAGCTTTTTGGATTGGTCGGCATAGCATGGTCGCCTGAAGTGAACCTAATAAGCAAGTTGTAAGCCTTGACCAAAAACGCAAACAAAATTAAGGAACTCAGACAGGTGTGGTGGCTCATTCCTGTAACCCCAGCACTTTGGGAGGCTGAGGCAGGAGGATTGCTTGAGCTCAGGAGTTCGAGACCAGCCTGAACAACATGGCAAAACCCATTTCTACAAAAAATACAAAAATTACCCAGGCGTGGTAGTGCATGCCTGTAGTCCCAGTTACTCTGGGGGCTGAGGTGGGAGGATCACTTGAGCCCAGGAGGTCAAGGCTGCAGTGAGCCATAATTGCACCACTGCACTCCAGCCTGGATGTTGAAAGGAGACCCTGTCTCAGTAAATAAATAAATAAATATTAAAAAAATTAAGGAACTCATTTACAATATGCTTCCTAATATTTTAGATTACCTAGTTTGATTTAAAAAATAGATCTCTAATGGTTCAAACATTTCTAAAATCTGATTTAAGATGAGTGTCAAAGAGCAAAGGCACAACTACAATGCTGAAATATTTTAAATTCATCATCAGCTCATCCTCTAAATTCTGTAGTTTATTTACCCTGAGTATATGTATGATACAGTTGACCCTAGCAGCAGGCTCCGCATCCATGGATTCAACCAGCAGTAGATCAGAAATATTCAAAAAAAAATAACAATGCAACAATAAAAATAATATACATTTGAAAACAATACAGTGCAACAACTATTTACATTGTATCACATAGTAAAGTAATCTGCAGATGATGTAAGTATGTATAGGAGGATGTACATAGATTATACTCAAATGTTAGGGCATTTTATATAAATGACTTAAGCATCTGTAGATTTTGGTATCTGCAGGGGATCCTGGAACCAATCATCTGTGGATACTGAGAGACAACTGTATGTATAAATTTTGTGAACTCCATCTTATTTTTGATTGATAGAATATCACTGCTTACTTTGAAATGATTATGCATTACTTTAATCACAACCAATTCCAGAATATTTCTGTTCATTGGTGCCTTCATGTAGAACAATATTTTTAATAATGCTTTCCACCACCAAAATTTGTATTTGTAGTATTATCTCAAAAACCAACAACTTTTCCATCAATGTTTAATTTTAAAATTGACTTTACAATGCACTTACGAGAATTTAAAATGATTCACTTTTGATAGGATGCATTTCAAAAAGCTTTGTTACAATTTCATAAATTAGGTGGAAAAATTGAACCGCTTAAGGACTCACCCCAACTCATTTTCTATTTGAAGCATCTCATGCTTGCAAAGGTCTTCTTCTATTAATGGTATTAACACATTAACAGCTGTTGCTTTACTTTTTTATAGGCACAAGAAAAGTTGGAATAAAAGTAAGAAAAATTATTTCAGAAGTGTCTAAGCTAAATGTGATTATTTTGTTTGATCTGAATGAGAAATCATGCTTCAGTGTGATATGTAAATACACTGTGTGCAGAGTGGCACATGGTAATAACTTGTCTGCAGGTACAGTCTTCTTAAAATAGAATCTTCAATTGATCCTAAAGGTTCAAGTTTGTTGCAGCTGGAAAAATATGTAGATTTAATTATTTGCATTTGTGTCCCACATACTAGAAGCCATGAGTGAAGGTGAAGATACAAAGTGAAAAATCTATTAAATCCACCCAGCTTATGTTGCTGTAACTGTTAATAATAATACTTTATGAGAAAATGAAGTCTGGGCAAACACAAAAATAGACAAGACCTCAGGACGACAGAGATAAACTGAAATTATTCTAGGAAAACCAGATTATGTGGTCGCCCTACCTCCACCTCCACCTTGATCCATCTCTCTCCAAAAAAGGTCTCCTTTTCTCTACAGATCTGAATAAGATGGCCCATCCTCTTGCCTTACAAAAGCCCAATGCCCTTTCCAAAATGTTTCTGGATACCATGGCCTTGCATTCTCATGGTCACCTCTAGCCCTAAATTTCTGATTCTTCTGAATTGTTTTTCACACCTTTAAAAAAATTTATACTTTGGTATCAAATGAAATTCAACTCCTTTCTTAATTTCTACAAAACAACAACTTGTGTAGCTGATGAGTGACAAATTTGGTTGTTGAAAAGGGAGGGATCAACTTGTGTTCCAAGTAACTTATAACTGAATATTTCTTTATATCCTTGTTTCCCAAATTCCCTGGGCCCGTCATTCATGCTGCTTGCTCATTCTTTCCCTTCTGCCCCCTCCTTCGGAGCTGCCACCCCATTCATCCCATTTTCTTCTGTAGAGTGATTTATTACTCGCTAGGTTTGTACTCAAAACTCAGCCCCAGGCCTCCCTTTGAGTTGAGAAATGCCTTGAAATTAACACTGACAGGGGTGTTTCAAATGAAAAACTAGGCAAAGTCTATTGACTAATTTCTTTCCTAATTTCTGCAAGGTAAGTAGGAATGGTTTTGTGTGTGTGTGTGTGTGCGTGTGTGTGTGTAGAAAGACAGAGAAAGAGAGAAATAAAGATGCAAGTTTATATATGTGTAGAAATATATATGTGTGTGTGTATGTGTGTATGTATGTATTTATATTACTCTTCCAAAACATTTCCCTAGCCTATAGGTTTAGAAGAAGTCACATTAATATTAACACTTACATTTCATGGGCTCATAATACCTCTTTGCAGGACCTTAGCCTCAAAGTCACTCCAATTTTATCTGGGTTCCCTGGGATTTTATCACACAGAAAAATCTGCCCTTTTTAGGGTGCTGCTCTGATTCTGCCAGGGACCCTCCATCCCCTGTGAGCATCCATTGACGACCATGTTTTCTGGGCACCTAGTCCCTTCTGGTGCTTTGTCACGGTTCCTGAGATCACCAGATAGTGGAAATGGGCCCAGCACAGTGATGTGTCTAACTTAAAGGTAGGACAAAAGCTATTCTCCCAACCCTGTGTTTCAGCTCCTCGCCTGGACATCTAATCTGCGTATCTCATGGCTCACTGATTTTCTTATGACCCTGTTTATAGGCATCTGGCTAACAAATTCCTCTAGACAGCTTCTCTCAACACCCCCACTCCTATGTAGATCAGTTGCTATAGACATGTGTGAGCCCCTGACCCCATGCACAGATAGGTACAAATCTCAATTTAGGTTCATATGGAAATGAGACCTTTGTGCCTATTTTGCTTTTTTTTTTTTTTTCTAGATTCTCACATGCCATCGAATGTAAGATTTACTAATGGTGAAGCAGGGGGGCAGGGTAGAGAGAAAAAACCACCACATTAAGCTCATATTTTTAAGATGTACTTTCATTTCAGAAACTTCCAAATTAAAAAAAAATTGACCTTAAAATTGAAGGAAGAAGTATAATTTATTTTAGTATTTTTTGTTTTGAATTTATGAGTCTTTTATTCAAAAAACTTCTTATATTTTGCCATAAACTTATACATTCAATGTATATACAGAAATCATAGAATTTTAGAGCTAAAGCTAAAGTAAATTTCCTTATTAAAAAGTTTGGACCGAGAGAAGTTGGTGATATCTTGAAGGAAAAGAACCTGGTATGATTGAATATGTGGTGTTCAGCTTTTCTGCCTCTGTGTCCGTAGCATTTTGTCCAAAGACAGAAAATATGCATTTAAAGTGTTCACCTTGAGGCCAGTCTGGACAACATAGTGAGATTCCCATTTCTACACAAAATTAAAAATATTATCTAGGCGTAGTGGTGTACACTTGTAGTCCCAGTTGTGCTGGGAGGCTGAGGTGGGAGGAGTGCTTGAACCCAGGAGTTTGAGGCTGCAGTGAGCTATGATCACACCATTGCACTCCAGCCTGGGTGACAGAGCTGGATCCCATCTCTAAAATTAAATAACTAAATACATAAATAAAATGTTTATCTTATGAAATTTTTTAATAATCAGTTTTGCAGTCATTCTGTTTACTGAAAGAAGTGAAACATACACTTATTAATCCTTTGGAAGTTGAACCATCTGCAGTTTGACAAGAGCAGTTGGGAAATATTTTTGTTTTACTAATTTAGTAGAATAGCTGTAACCAAAGGCAATAGTTTATAAATATTGGGTATGTCTTATAAACAATGTTGAATTGTTTTTATTAAAATTAACACATAAACTTTTGGGTATATTTTACATAATGAAATAAATATAAAGTTACATAAAAATCAAAGGCTATTTCTGCCAGATTTACGCATGAAATTAAAAATATTGGGTCATCTAATTATCTTGAGTTTTAGCTTTCCCTTTCACTTTCCTGACAGATATTAAATAAACATGGTCTAAAGGAATTCACTGTAAAATTATTAGTATGAATAGGAGAGCTCTGTAATGTTGAAGGATATAACAGTAAATAAAGACCAATGAGTTTTTTCTTTCTTGGTAATAAGCAATAGGAAAAATGGCAGGAAAAAGGCCTGATTAATAATACCAACAGAAAAATAACTAGAATGAGTGTTATACAAATAGGAATTTCGTTTGACTGCAAGAAGCAGACACCTGTAGTAACATAACATATTAAGGAAATGTTGTGACATATAAAAGATAGTTCCAGAGATGGCAGTGAAGGGCTAACGTGGTCGTGACAACACCGAGGATCCTTTCCCCTTTCTTTTCCACCCTCTTAGCTGTAGGCTCCATTTCCGCAGATGCCTCATGATCTGGCATAGCTGCTCAAGTTCTCCCTATCACATCATATGTCTTTCATCAGTTTTCAACTGCAGAGAACTGAATCTGCTCCAGCTACTTGACACACAAATGGCTCTATTCCTGTACTAAAGAGCTTCTGGAATCCTAGACAAGGCAGAAAAACAAACTCTATGTTAATATTTTGCGACTAACTTCCAAAGTCACCTGAGAAAACTGGGCCACCGAGGGAGTTATTGTCCCTTCTTGTCCCTACTATGACCAAGAAGCTCCTTTCCTGATTGGAATGCTGCCACTCCACTTGCTGGGTCCAGAACCTCAGGGCTCCTGCACAGTGAGGGAGCTGCAATCCCAGGAAGCCACACAATCACAAAGCTATAATGATTGGGAATCTCGTACCACGGATGCTGTCTTCAGAACCAAGCTGTTTCTGCACCCATGACTTCAATGATCAGAAATGAAGTCCTCAGCAAATGCTTCTTCCCAGCACAACTGGATGCCTGCCTAATGGGGCTTGCCAGAAGGAACAACAGAAGCAACACCTCTCCATTTTGCTTTACATCTGCCTTCCAAATCATCACTTGTGTACCTGAGGGGTTGAGCATTCACTGCATACAAAAGCATAGCTGCAAGGAAATCTGGGGAAAGTCATTTTTAGCTTTCCAGTCTTTGAAACATAAGAAGACACTCTAGAAGGGAGTTGCAATAGACAATAAGTGCTAATTCACCATTCCACCAAAATATTCCAGGAAAAGGGAAGGAGAAAGAAAGGGGAAGGATGAAAGGACATCCTCCTTCACCAGCTCAGTGATCTTTTTGTCTTTTTTGTTTTTAAATTTCATAGTCTTTTTTTTATTATTATACTTTAAGTTTTAGGGTACATGTGCACAACGTGCAGGTTTGTTACATACGTATACATGTGCCATGTTGGTGTGTTGCACCCATTAACTCATCATTTAGCGTCAGGTGTATCTTCTAATGTTATCCCTCCCCCATCGCCCCACCCCACAACAGGCCCTGTTGTGTGATGTTCCCCTTCCTGTGTCCATGTGTTCTTATTGTTCAATTCCCACCTATGAGTGAGAACATGCGGTGCTTGGTTTTCTGTCCTTGCGATAGTTTGCTGGGAATGATGGTTTCCAGCTTCATCCATGTCCCTATAAAGGACATGCACTCATCATTTTTTATGGCTGCATAGTATTCCATGGTGTATATGTACCACATTTTCTTAATCCAGTCTATCGTTGTTGGACATTTGGGTTGATTCCAAGTCTTTGCTATTGTGAATAGTGCCGCAGTAAACATACGTGTGCATGTGTCCTTACAGCAGCATGATTTATAATCCTTTGGGTATATACCCAGTAATGGGATGGCTGGATCAAATGGTATTTCTAGTTCTAGATCCCTGAGGAATCGCCACACTGACTTCCACAAGGGTTGAACTAGTTTACAGTCCCACCAACAGTGTAAAAGTGTTCCTATTTCTCCACATCCTCTCCAGCACCTGTTGTTTCCTGACTTTTTAATGATCGCCATTCCAACTTGTGTGAGATGGTATCTCATTGTGGTTTTGATTTGCATTTCTCTGACGGCCAGTGATGATGAGCATTTTTTCATGTGTCTTTTGGCTGCATAAATGTCTTCTTTTGAGAAGTGTCTGTTCATATCCTTCGCCTCTTTTTGATGGGCTTGTTTGTTTCTTTCTTGTAAATTTGTTTGAGTTCATTGTAGATTCTGGATATTAGCCCTTTGTCAGATAAGTAGATTGCAAAAATTTTCTCCCATGTTGTAGGTTGCCTGTTCACTCTGATGGTAGTTTCTTTTGCTGTGCAGAAGCTCTTTAGTTTAATTAGATCCCATTTGTCAATGTTGTCTTTTGTTGCCATTGCTTTTGGTGTTTTAGACATGAAGTCCTTGCCCATGCCTACGTCCTGAATGGTATTGCCTAGGTTTTCTTCTAGGGTTTTTATGGTTTTAGGTCTAACATGTAAGTCTTTAATCCATTTTGAATTAATTTTTGTGTAAGGTGTAAGGAAGGGGTCCAGTTTCAGCTTTCTACATATGGCTAGCCAGTTTTCCCAGCACCATTTATTAGAGAATCCTTTCCCCATTTCTTGTTTTTGTCAGGTTTGTCAAAGATCAGATAGTTGTAGATATGTGGCATTATTTCTGAGGGCTCTGTTCTGTCCCATTGGTCTATATCTCTGTTTTGGTGCCAGTACCATGCTGTTTTGGCTACTGTAGCCTTGTAGTATAGTTTGAAGTCAGGTAGCGTGATGCCTCTGGCTTTGCTCTTTTGGCTTAGGATTGACTTGGCAATGAGGGCTGTTTTTGGATCCATATGAACTTTAAAGTAGTTTTTTCCAATTCTGTGAAGAAAGTCATTGGTAACTTGATGGGGATGGCATTGAATCTATAAATTGCCTTGGGCAGTATGGCCATTTTCATGATATTGTTTCTTCCTACCCATGAGCATGGAATGTTCTTCCATTTGTTTGTATCCTCTTTTACTTCATTGAGGAGTGGTTTGTAGTTCTCCTTGAAGAGGTCCTTCACGTCCCTTGTAAGTTGGATTCCTAGGTATTTTATTCTCTTTGAAGCAATTGTGAATGGGAGTTCACTCATGATTTGGCTCTCTGTTTGTCTGTTATTGGTGTATAAGAATGCTTGTGATTTTTGCCCATTGATTTTGTATCCTGAGACTTTGCTGAAGTTGCTTATCAGCTTAAGGAGATTTTGGGCTGAGACGATGGGGTTTTCTAGATATACAATCATGTCATCTGCAAACAGGGACAATTTGACTTCCTCTTTTCCTAACTGAATACCCGTTATTTCCTTCTCCTGCCTGATTGCCCTGGCCAGAACTTCCAACAGTATGTTGGATAGGAGTGGTGAGAGAGGGCATCCCTGTCTTGTGCCAGTTTTCAAAGGGAATGCTTCCAATTTTTGCCCATTCAGTATGATATTGGCTGTGGGTCTGTCATAGATAGCTCTTATTATTTTGAGATATGTCCCATCAATACCTAATTTATTGAGAGTTTTTAGCATGAAGGGTTGTTGAATTTTGTGAAAGGCCTTTTCTGCATCTATTGAGATAATCATGTGGTTTTTGTCGTTGGTTCTGTTTATATGCTGGATTACATCTATTGATTTTCGTATGTTGAACCACCCTTGCATCCCAGGGATGAAGCCCACTCGATCATGGTGGATAAGCTTTTGGATGTGTTGCTGGATTCGGTTTACCAGTAGTTTATTGAGGATTTTTGCATCGATGTTCATCAGGGATATTGGTCTAAAATTCTCTTTTTTTGTGTGTCTATGCCAGGCTTTGGTATCAGGATGATGCTGGCCTCATAAAATGAGCTAGGGAGGATTCCCTCTTTTTCTATTGATTGGGATAGTTTCAGAAGGAATGGTACCAGCTCCTCCTTGTACCTCTGGTAGAATTCGGCTGTGAATCCACCTGGTCCTGGACTTTTTTTGGTTAGTAAGCTATTAATTATTGCCTCAATTTCAGAGCCTGTTATTGGTCTATTCAGAGATTCAACTTCTTCCTGGTTTAGTCTTGGGAGAGTGTATGTGTCGAGGAATTTATCCATTTCTTCTAGATTTTCTAGTTTATTTGCATAGAGGTGTTTATAGTGTTCTCTGATGGTAGTTTGTGTTTCTGTGGGATCGGCGGTGATATCCCCTTTATCATTTTTTATTGCGTCTATTTGATTCTTCTCTCTTTTCTTCTTTATTAGTCTTGCTAGCGGTCTATCAATTTTGTTGATCTTTTCAAAAAACCAGCTCCTGGATTCATTGATCTTTTGAAGGGTTTTTTGTGTCTCTATCTCCTTCAGTTCTGCTCTGATCTTAGTTATTTCTTGCCTTCTGCTAGCTTTTGAATGTGTTTGCTCTTGCTTCTCTAGTTCTTTTAATTGTGATGTTAGGGTGTCAATTTTCGATCTTTCCTGCTTTCTCTTGTGGGAATTTAGTGCTATAAATTTCCCTCTACACACTGCTTTAAATGTGTCCCAGAGATTCTGATATGTTGTGTCTTTGTTCTTGCTGGTTTCAAAGAACATCTTTATTTCTGCCTTCATTTCATTATGTACTAAGTAGTCATTCAGGAGCAGGTTGTTCAGTTTCCATGTAGTTGAGTGGTTTTGAGTGAGTTTCTTAATCCTGAGTTCTAGTTTGATTGCACTGTGGTCTGAGAGACAGTTTGTTATAATTTCTGTTCTTTTACGTTTGCTGAGGAGTGCTTTACTTCCAACTGTGTGGTCAATTTTGGAATAGGTGTGGTGCTTAAAAGAATGTATATTCCGTTGATTTGGGGTGGAGAGTTCTGTAGATGTCTATTAGGTCCACTTGGCGCAGGGCTGAGTTCAATTCCTGGATATCCTTGTTAACTTTCTGTTTCATTGATCTGTCTAAGGTTGACAGTGGGGTGTTAAAGTCTCCCATTATTATTGTGTGGGAGTCTAAGTCTCTTTGTAGGTCTCTAAGGACTTGCTTTATGAATCTGGGTGCTCCTGTATTGGGTGCGTATATATTTAGGATAGTTAGCTCTTCTTATTGAATTGATCCCTTTACCATTATGTAATGGCCTTCTTTGTCTCTTTTGATCTTTGTTGGTTTAAAGTCTGTTTTATCAGAGAGTAGGATTGCAATGCAACCCCTGCCTTTTTTTGTTTCCATTTGCTTGGTAGATCTTCCTCCATCTCTTTATTTTGAGCCTATGTGTGTCTCTGCACATGAGATGGGTTTCCTGAATACAGCACACTGATGGGTCTTGACTTTTTATCCAATTTGCCAGTCTGTGTCTTTTAATTGGAGCATTTAGCCCATTTACATTTAAGGTTAATATTGTTATGTGTGAATTTGATCCTGTCATTATGATGTTAGCTGGTTATTTTGCTCATTAGTTGATGCAGTTTCTTCCTAGCCTCTATGGTCTTTACAATTTGGCATGTTTTTACATTGGCTGGTACTGGTTGTTCCTTTCCATGTTTAGTGCTTCCTTCAGGAGCTGTTTTAGGGACAAGCCTCAGTAGCCAGTTCAATCAACTGGAAGAAAGGGTATTAGTGATGGAAGATCAAATGAATGAAATGAAGCGAGAAGAGAAGTTTAGAGAAAAAAGAATAAAAAGAAATGAACAAAGCCTCCAAGAAATATGGGACTATGTGAAAAGACCAAATCTACGTCTGATTGGTGTAGCTCAGTGATCTTTAAGAAGCTTTTCATGAGGCCCCACTAGATGATTTTCATTTGCCTCTCATTACCCACTCTTAACCGCAAGGGAGACTGGGAAATGCAGAACTTTAGTTATATGTATTGCCTCCCAGAATAAAATGGGGTTTTGTTAGAAAGAAGTAAATAAAGAAGATAATGAATATTTGGTGGGTAATTAATACAGCTGACCCTGGAACAGCACAGGTTTGAACTGCATGGTCCACTTATAAGTGGATTTTCTTTCACCTCTGCCACTCTGAGATAGCAAGACCAATCCCTCCTCTTCCTTCTCCTCCTCCTTCTCCTCCTCAGCGTGAAGTTGATAAGTATGAAGACCTTTAAGATGATTCAATTCCACTTATGAATAGTAAATATATTTTCTTTTCCTTATGATTTTCACAATAATATTTTCTTTTCTCAAGCTTGCTTTATTGTAAAAATATAGTAGATAAGATAATACATATAGCACAAAAATCTGTGCTAATCAACTATTTATATTATCAGTAAGGCTTCTGGTCAACATTAGGCTATTAGTAAAGTTTCTGGGGAATCAAAAGTTTTATATAAATTTCTGAATGTACAGCGAGAACAACATGGGAATTAGGTTGGTGCCTTAATTCCTATGTTGCTCAACAGTCAACTACAGTTTCAGCTGAAGTCTGCTCTTTTTTTCTCAATGTCTATACTCATCCTTCCTTTCTTATGTAGAACACCTGGCCCCTTTCCTATGAAGATACCCCAAGGTCTCATCCAAGCAATGCACCTAACTCAACATCGAGGATTACTGGGTGAAATATACCCCTCTCTGTTCCATCTAGATGTGGCTTCTTGTGATCCGGTAATGTATAAAAATAGAAAAAAATATTTGCTGCCAGAACATCATAATGGAGAAACAGTAGGATAGGAATGATTGAGCTCTTCTTTTCAGAAAGTGGTAATGGGAGCATTCATCAGTCACTGTTCCATACCAATTATGAAATCTTGTTGGGCAGGATTAGCAAGACCCCCTGGCCTGGCAGAGCAGAGCTCTATGCTCCAGGAGGTTTCTGTCCTACTAGCTTTATACTGAGTTCGTCTCTTTTATAGGATGCAATTAAAAGTCAGAAAACAACACAGACTAGCAGCTACAATTTTTCTACATTTTCTATTGTACAACAGCTTTACACAGTCTGCCTTCCAAAGTACAACAGGTGAAAATTTGATCGTAAGTTTGCCACTGCGTTACAAGGGTCAATGACTTTCCAAATGTTAACAGGTAGATTCTTACTGCTCACAGCATGGCTGCCTTCACCATACAAATACAACTAACTACAAATATTTACAATGCATCTAAGTGAAAACTATATACTGAGCTTTACCATGAAATATAAAAGATTTAAGTAAATAGAATAAAAAGAAGTCCTTGCAAGTGAAAACTGAAATTTATAAATGTCAATTTCTCCCAAGTATAGGTTTAATACAATTCAAACTTTTCCAGCCCTCACATTCTAGCATGATTCTTTGAAACTTAACAAGGTGATTTAAAGCCTACCTGTTAGAAAGAAAGTATAAGAATGAACAAGAAAATGTATGAAAAAAGAAAAGAAGATACGTGCCACACAGAAACTTGTACCTGAATGTTGACAGCATTATTCATAATAGCCAAAATGTGAAAACAACTCAATTGTCCATCAGGTGAACAGATAAACAAAATGTGGCATATCCATACAATAGAATATTATTCAGCCATGAAAAAAGAGTGAAATATTAATACATGCTACAATTTGGATGAACCTCAAAAACATTATGCTAAGTGAGAAAAGTCAGACACAAAAAATCACGTTTTATATGACTCCTTCAGTATGATATATCCAGGATAGGCAAATCCATAGAGACCAAAAGCCGATCAGAGATTACCAGGGAGTGGGAGAAAGGGGAAATGGAGTGCGATTAATGGGTATAGGGCATTTTAAGGGATGGTAAATATTTTGAAACTAGAAAGATCTGGTAGTTGCATAATATTATGAATATACTATATATCACTGAATTGTATACATTAAGATGGCTAATTACAGATTATGTAAATTTCACCTCAATAAAAATAAAAGAAGACAAAAGAAATGAATATGGGACTGGGCGCGGTGGCTTACGCCTGTAATCCCAGCACTTTGGGAGGCCAAGGCAGGTGGATCATGAGGTCAAGAGATCGAGACCATCCTGGCCAACATGGTGAAACCCCGTCTCTACTAAAAATTCAAAAATTAGCTTGGTGTGGTGGCGTGCTCCTGTTGTCCCAGCTACTTGGGAGGCTGAGGCAGGAGAATCATTTGAACCTGGAGGGCGGAAGTTGCAGTGAGCCGAGATCACACCACTGCACTACAGCCTGGTGACAGAGCGAGACTCCAGAGAAAAAAAAAAAGAAAAAAAGGAAATGAATATAGAGGATAAACAATATCATTTTTAAGGACATGAAGCAGAATTGGCAAACGTCACTTATGTTGCTATATCACTGGCTAAAATGTTGTGGTATGGCTGTACCTAAGTTCAAAAGAAGTGGGAAATGCAGTCCCCAGCAGAATGGTTACAAATACAACCAAAATATATTGCCAGAGTATTGTTCTATGGTATTACATAAAGAAAGAAGGAAAATTATGCAAGGAGATAATATCCCATCATTTGTCTTTGTAACTTGCTAAAAGCAACAAGGAACAATGAATACACATGAACATTTTGGCCATTTCCAGTTACTTTCTTAGATCTGTACACGTCCTAGGCATGTGTTCTGCCTTCCAGGTGAATGCTGGCAAGAGTTTTATTCAGTGTTTTTTCACAGTAAACATTTCTGGCTTTCAGTATCTGCCTCCTCGTTTCCTGTTGCCTGGCTGTTGAATCAACACCAGATAGTTTAGTCTGTGTCATGGCAGCGCCTCAATTCTGATATTGATCAGTGAGTATAAAGGCTAAGACATGGCATCAATGAGACTCACACATAGTGATTTAAATGGGATAATAGTTTTCTCTCTCTCTTGCAGGAGAGTCTGGGGTCTGGCAGGGTTTACTCACTTGGTCATCTAGTGACCTAACGTGAAAACTCAACATGCATCTTTCACCACTGGGTCCAAGAAGCTGCTCCAGTTTTCCTAATTCCAGGGGTTGAATTCAATGACACCATGTCTGCATGTCAGTCAGTGAGGACAGGGAAAACAGGTGTGAAGATGCATCTTCGTGTTAACGGACCCAAGGCAAAAGTGGTACCTGTACCTTCTGCTCCGAACCATTGGCTGACACCTAGTCACATGGTCATAATTATCAGGGACAGAAGCTGAAAAATGATAGTAGTAGCATCACCACATGACCACCAGAATAGTGGAGGGCGTCAATTAATAAAGGGAAGAAAGATATAATGGATATTAAAACACAGGAACAGTCTTTAACATAGTATGCATGTAAAGTTTCTAGAAAAACAATGAAAAGGATAGAAAAAATATATGCAACTTTCAACTGGTAGGGAGAAAAAGAGGAATGATAGAAATTTCTCATGTCTTACTGACATCAAGAAAGGAAAAGAAAAGCAACATAGAAAAGCTGAGACAAACGAAAAGCCCCAAATAATCATAAAAATAAATCTAAATATATCAGTAATTATAATTAACATATAAAGAACATATAAAAAAGCTTTAGCTTTAAAACAATGATTGAGAAACAGTGAAAAAATCTATTAAATGCCATTTAAAAGAGAAACAGTTAAGCCATCAAAATTGAAAAGAGTTGAAGGTGAAGGGTGAAGAGTAATAGAGCAGGTAAGCATTAAACACATAGCAAGCTAATTTACCTATGTTAATAGCAGCCTAACGAAACTTTAAGGCAAACAGTTTTAAGAGAAATAAAACTCTGACAGCTTCAAAATATCAAAGGTTTAATTCGCTTAGAAGATATTTAAAAGTTAAATTTGTATGAACCTAACAATTTAGCTTCAAAATATATACAAAGCAAATATTGAAGGAACTGCAAAGGAGCCGTCAAAGCTATCAGTTCAGGCTACCCTCTTGGTAATTGATAGATCAAGGAAACAAAATCCAGTGATGATTCAGGTTTTGACCAACATAATTAGCATGCTTAATTTAATGTACTTAGGAAAAATTTCACGATTCCATGAAAAAGCCAAGTCACTGAAGAATAACAGTGTCATCACATGCATAACGTTATAGGAAGCTCAAAAACTTGCAAATCTAACAGACAAAAAAGGGATTTAGAAATTCAAGAATACGTGCTAATAGTATAAAGAAAATTTTAAACAAAAGTAAGAAGTTTTAATTTTAGGTTGTACTACTTATTTTCCATTATGAAAAATGGAGTCATTTGCAAGGCTCCAAACATTAATGTTCTATTCTATAAGCGCATGTGTGAGAGAGACGGGACTTTCCTGTCTTTTATAGCAGTAGGCTTTACCAAATTTTAAGAAAATAAAGCCACAAAATATTCCAAGACTAGTCTTCAGGTGGCTTGTATTTCTGTAGAATACCCAAGTGATTGGCAAATGTCAGCATGTGGGTCATTGCTAATTGATTCCTGGATGTCTGCTGTGGGACAGTGCCTTCTAGTCCCTATGCAAGGAAAATGAGAAAAGCCTCATCTCAAAAAGATGAAAATCTCAGGAAGAAATTTGGGTAAGATCAGTTTTTATGGCATGTATGAATGCAAATTTATGAGTCTGAATGATAGTGCTCATGTGTGAAGAGTATTGTCTACACTGTGAAGGTGTCCCAACTCCATGTGACTTTGGATCTACTGGGAGCAACAAACACCACGGCAGTTGAAGCCTAAGAAAACTACGTTGTGCCAAGATGTGGTACCGCTCACCGGTCTTCTGCCTAACAATCAAATCCCTGTGCATATTCTTTAAAAAGACAACTGAAATAACTTTTTATATTCTTTGCTAATAACCTAAGCGTTAGCTGAGATCTAATCTGAAGTGTCTTTGCCAGGTAGTCTCACTTTTACAAATTCCACACGACATTTTTTAAAAACATCTGATAAATCCTACTACATAGAAGAAATTATTTGGATTTAAAAACATCATAAAGTCAAAAGACAAATGGCAAGTAGAAGTACTTGCAATTTATATCAAAGGTGAAAGGCTATTCTTTCTAATAAATGTAAACCTCCTAGAAATTGAGAGAAAAAGACCTACTGCCCATTAGGAAAAATGGGCAAAGTATATGAATATATAATTCACAGAGAAAGAGATGCACGTGGCTCCTCAACACATAAAAAGATGCTCAAGACAACTGATTATAAGAATAATGCAGGCTGGGCACGGTGGCTCATGCCTGTAATCCCAGCACTTTGGAAGGCTGAGGCAGGTGGATCACCTGAGGTCAGGAGTTCGAGGCCAGCCTGGTCAACAGGGCGAAACCCTGTCTCTACTAAAAATGCAAAAATTAGCTGGGCGTGGTGGTGCATGCCTGTAATCCCTGCTACTCGGGAGGCTGAGGCAGGAGAACTGCTTGAACCTGGAAGGTGAAGGTTGCGGTGAGCCAAGATTGTGCCACACTGCACTCCAGCCTGGGCAACAGAGTAATGCTCTGTCTCAAAGAAAAAAAAAAAAATTCTTTAAAAACCTGCAGTTACCATATTCACCTGTCAGAATGGCAAAATCCATTAAGTCTGACAGCATACCCTGTTGGCAGGCTGTGGGAAAACAGGGTCTACCACACATTGCTGAAAGGAGCACAAAGCAGTATTACCCCATAGAGAAATTTCTCATTATCAGTCACAATTACCGAATGCATATCATCTTTGACTCAGAAATTTCACTTCTGAGGATTTTTCCTACCGATAAACCCATACATACATAGTTTATTCCATACACATTTTTGTCATAGCAAATAATTAGAACCCAAGTCTCATCAAATAAGGTTTCTGTTCAGCGCTGTCTAACAAAATTTAATGTGAGTCACTTTATAATTTTTAGTGTTCTGGTGTCCATTTTAAAAAAGTAAAACGACTCAGGTATAATTTATTTTAATAATATATTTCATTTAGCCCATATAGCGAGTCTTTTCATTTCAATTAGTTATCAATATAAAAATTGTGAATGAGATATTTTGCATTCCATTTTCATATAATCCTCATAGCACATCTCTATTAGCACTACCCACATTTCCAGGATTCATAACTCCATGTGGCCAGGGGCAGCGCAGGCCTAGTTAATAAATACACGATTAATCTCAGGATGGGTCTCCCAGAGCGTGAAATCTGTGAGAAAAGCTTAAGTGCAACTATCATCAGAAATGTAATTCCAGAGAAGCAGCAGTGAGAAAAAAGTAAAGTTAGGCAAGAAAGAAGAAAGAGGAAAAGGAAGGAGCTTTACGAAGTCAGCACCACTTGGTGTTAAAGTGTCTGCAGGACGCTGAATCCTGTGGGGATCTTCCAGTATCATGCATGTCAGGTCAGTTTCCGGTGGCCAGGGAAAGGAGGAAGGGAGAGAAATCTATCCACAAGCTCCTGTCTCTCGCTGGGCAAAAGTTTGGCAAAAATGTTGCAGAAGAGGAAGAGGCCCAGGGAAGTGCCTGGAATGAAAGCCACACGTCTGTCTCTTCTGCAACATCCTGGGCTACAGCTAAGCCGGAAGCCTGGTGCAGGAAGGGTCAGGAGAGGTTTTAGGGAAGGCACCTTTAGATGGTGCCCTCATGAATTTCACTGGACGACAGTTAGCAGTCACAATAGTGAGACTAGGATTGGAAAGAGTGGACCAAGGCTCCAGAGACAAGTGAAGCCAAGAGGATCAGAAGCGATTCATAAGAAGTGTTTGGCTCAACTGCCTCATGGAAGGATCAGCAGCTGTCAAGACAGGATGAGGAATGTCCCATTAATACTGACATAGAAACGTCTCTCTAACACGTACAGTCATGTGAAAAAAGCAAGGTGCAAAAGAGTGCATACAGTATGCTACACTTTGTGGATGAAAGGCGGAGAATAATCACCTTTGTATTAATTTAGTTTTGCATAAAGAATTGCTGGGAGGCTGGGCGCGGTGGCTCACACCTGTAATCCCAGCACTCTGGGAGGCCGAGGCGGGTGAATCACTTGAGGTCATGAGTTTGAGACCACCCTGGCCAACATGGCGAAACTGCATCTCTACTAAAAATACAAAAAATCAGCTGGCTGGGGTGGCGCATGCCGGTAGTCCCAGCTACTCGGGAGGTTGAGGCAAGAGAATTGCTTGAACCCAGGAGGCGGAGGTTACAGTGAGTCAGGATCGTGCCACTGCACTCCAGCCTGGGTGAGAGAGTGAGACCCTGTCTAAAAAACAAAATAATTGCTGGAAAAACCCAGGCACTAACAAAAGTGGTTCTCTAACTGAGGAGTGAAATAGGATTGATGGAGAAAGTGGTGGGAGGACACCTCTTAGTGGATACCTTTTTATATAATTTTGATTTTTATCCCTCATGACTGTATTTCCTAATCAGATACAATACACCTTTCAGTAGAACTATGATAAAGCCATCCGGGTAAGGTGGTAAGATTAGTTGTTCTCAAGCACCATCTTTTGATATGGTTAGTTTCATTCCTAATGTAGTCAAGGTTTCAAATAGTTCTTATATATTCTGTCCTTTACTGAGATTTTATTATTATTTTCTCTTTTTTTTTGAAACGAAGTCTCACTTCATCACCCAGACCGCAGTGCAGTGGAGTGATCTTGGCTCACTACAACTTCCGCCTCCCAGGTTCAACCAATTCTCCTACCTCAGCCTCCCGCATAGCTGGGGTTACAGGTCCCTACCACCGTGCCTGGCTAATTTTTGTATTTTTAGTAGAGACAGGTTTTCACCATGTTGGCCAGGCTGGTCTCCAACTCCTGACATCAAATGATCCACCCCCCTCGGCCTCCCAAAGTGCTGGCAGTACAGGCGTAAGCCACCACACCCAGCCCTGAGATTTTATTTTCTATCCATGTTTGGACTCATCTGAGAATTGACTACATTCAAACAGTTTTATAAAAAAGTTCAGGATCCAGGAAATAGTGAATTCTTATTCACTTGTTTGTGTTATTAATTCTGCCTTGTTTTGTTTTAATTGAAAGGTAATTGGGCCTGTTAAAGATTTTTCCACTATTATCAGACATTGGCTGTTTTAGTGAAGAAGTATGAGGTCAACCTGAATTTTTTTCTCCTTGATGTGAATAATTTTTCTACCTGGTTGGCTGTAAGATTTATTGTTTTATCCTTGAAGTTCAGCAACTTCAAGAAGCTACGTCTTGGCATTTATCTTTCTGTATCAATTGTTCTTGGGTAAGTGCATGCCCTTTTGGTCGACAGACTCAGTCATGTTTCATTCTTTGTGCTTTGTGGCTGTACATATGTTCTTGTTTCACTGGTGTCAAAAATACTTATTTTATATTTTTTGTTCCCTATTATATTCAGTGGATTTTTTTCCTCAACATTTTATTATGGAAATGTTCATGCATACAGGAAGGTTGAAAGAATTTTACAGTGAAGAATCATTTATCTACTGCCTGGACTCCATAATTAACATTTTATAATATTTGCTTTATTATATATGCGTCCATCTGTCCATCCTTCTATCCATCTTTAGTAGATCTTATTTTATTGAGGCATTTCAAAGAAATGATACCATTACATTTCTCAATAAATATTTCAGCATGCATTTCTCAAATTAGAATTCAGTATTTGTTTATTTTTTTACATTTGCAATAAAATTAACAAGCAACACATATAAAAGTCTTAATTCCATGATTTTCACAAGTGCATTTATGTATGTAACCAGATCCCTTGGCAAGATAGAAAATGCTACAATTGTCTGGGAATTTCACTCATGTACATTTTCACTTAATGCTTAGCTCTAGCCCTTCCCCTGACAGGCAATCACTGGTCTGTTTGTTTGTGTTTTTTTTTTCACCATGGATTCG